>NC_000001.11:244668970-244820485 GCF_000001405.40 Homo sapiens
AATACTTTAGAATGCTTCTTAAAAATATTTTGAAAGGCCCTTTTTTGTGAGACAGGGTCTTACTTTGACACCCAGTCTAGAGTGCAGTGGCATAGTCATGGCTCACTGCAGGCTTTGACCTCCCAACCTCCAACAAACCTCCCACGTCAGCCCCCTGAGTAGCTGGGACTATGCACCGCCACACCCGGCTAATTGTTTAATTTTTTTGTAGAGATAGGGTCTCACTATGTGGCCCAGGCTGGTCTTGAACTCCTGGGCTTAAGTGATTGTCCCACCTTGGCCTCCCAAAGTGCTGGGATTACAGGCATGAGCCACCGTGCCTGGCCAGAAAACCTGTTTTTATTAAACTTGTACATTTTACTTTCTTCTTTTCAGAATCTTAATAAGAAAACCTTTTTATTCTTGCTTAAAAAAAGAAACTAGACTGGCCAGTTGCTCTGGCTCACACCTGTAATCTCAGCACTTTGGGAGGCCGAGGTGGGCGGATCACCTGAGGTCAGGAGTTCGAGACTAGCCTGACCAATATGGAGAAACCCCATCACTACTAAAAATACAAAATTAGCTGGGCGTGGTGGCATATGCCTGTAATCCTAGCTATTTGGGAGGCTGAGGCAGGAGAATTGCCTGAACCCGGGAGGCAGAGGTTGCGGTGAGCCAAGATCGCACCATTACACTCCAGTCTGGACAACAGGAGCGAAACTCCATCTCAAAAAAAGAAAAAAAGAAACTAGACTTCAGTGACACTGGATGGTGTCAGAGGAGGTAAGTGTGTATTAGTATTAGTGGTCATTCCTTGGCCACCTTCTGTGTAATTACTATCTCCATGGACTTAAGCAAGTACAGGGCTGTAAGGTCCTAGCACCAAAGTAAGATGTGGTTCTCCAGCCCTCTGCTCATGTACTTCACTAATATATAGGCATCCTTTAAAACTACTGTCTTACTTGAAGAAGCCTTTCACTGAGACCTATACTTCTCAAGAATATAAATAATTCTTTTTTTTTTTTGATAGGGAGTTTCGCTCTTGTTCCTAGGCTGGAGTGCGATGGCACAATCTTGGCTCACTGCAACCTCTGCCTCCTGGGTTCAAGTGATTCTCCTGTCCCAGCCTCCGGAATAGCTGGGATTACAGGCACATGCCACCACACCCAGCTAATTTTTGTATTTTTAGTAGAGATGGGGTTTCATCATATTGGTCAGGCTGGTCTTGAACTCCTGACCGCAAGTGATCCACCTGCCTCGGCCTCCCACAGTGCTGGGATTACAGGCATGTGCCACCACACCCGGCAGAATATAAATAATTCTTGTAGGAGTCTTTAAATAGAATCAAATTAACTCTACCATTGTTTGCTATTCATTTTGGTGAGTCACTACTCTTGGTAATTTGACATCAACTCCCAAAAATTCTTGAAAATTTTGACACTGTACAGATAACCAGAACTCGTCTATTTACACATGCATACAATCTTCCCCAATATGTAGAACAAAATTTGAGGGAAGGATCTTATTGCCAATAAATACGCGTTCTGGCTACAACTAACACTCATAATAATCTTTATGGGACAAGCACTCTTCTAAGTACTTTATACATACTAATTTATTTATTCTTCATAACAGTCCTCTGAGGTAGATTGTATTTGTTATCCCCATTTTGTAAGTAAGGACGTCAAGGGACAGAGAGGTAAGTAACTATCTTTCCCAAAGCCATACAACTAGCAAATAGTGGACTTCAACCAAGACATTCTGGCTCCAGGATTCTGAATTAGAATCAAACACTTTTTGAGACAGATTGAGTACCTTAAAAAGTTATCAAATACATATGAACAAACCAAGGCAAAGCACATAGGTCTCCCAACTCAGTCTAATTGCCGCCTTCACTACAGTCCAAATGCTTCAATTTGTGTTAGTTACAATACTTGGATAATCTTTTTTAAATTCAAGCAGTAATCTCTGAGATTAATGAAAATATAATAGAAGAAACGCTCTTGGAATCTAAACTGGAACTAGGGGGACATTGTGGGCTTTCTAGTTTGATCCTAAGGGAAAGAGATCCTTGGATTAAACTGACCAAATGATATCTTCGGTACAAATGGTTTACATAGGTAGTTGACATTGGGATGTTGTGGTAACTCTTCTACTGTTTCGCGGTTTAAGAGATACTATTTTGTGGTAGCATCTGGCTGCTTTACTGTTTTCCTTTGGTATGTTAGGAAGGGTTTGAGAAGAATTAAACTGTAAACTAACTTTCAAATGAAAACGTCTGATTGTTCGTGTAATCTCCGAGGGATGATCTAGTTGTCAGCACTGGGCACTGGGTAAGCTTGAATATATAGCCACCTTAAGTAGATGTGGTTCGAATGTTCTGTGCCATATTCCTCCCTTGTACAGCACCACTTTTGTGTGCTAACCTTTTTCTGCAAGGCCGGCCCCCAGTGTCATTATATGTAACTCTTCATCCCACCTTCGGCAGCTGCCTGAGAGCAATAGTTCTTTAACTAGTCTGCTGAATGTTAATACTAACTGTACTCTTATACTTGAACCAAGCTCTAGAAATAAAAGTTGTCTTCCCCCAGCTCAAATAAAAAGCCAACTTCTAGGGCTTTATTTGGATAAAAATGTCGTGGATTATCCATTTTTCTCAAGTATGTGTTTTTAAACTTTTGGCGTCTGCTACTATTGAGACGACAAAATCAATGAAGGCTTATCCAGCAGAAATCTTGCTAACATCCAGTTATATCTAGTTCACCAGCTTGTTTTGTTTGTCTTTTATGGATACATGTTATTGGCTATGATTTTGTTTTGCATGTTTATAATATTTTCTGTTAGAAAAATAGCTTCTAGTTTGTAAAATGAGGTTAAACATATCAATATTTTATGGTATCCTACAAAAGCATGAATTTCCTCATAGCAATTTTGAGAAATTCTCTTGACCTGTGTAGGGAGATTTTTACTGAAGAGATGCTATGTGACATAAGTTTTGACAGTAGTAAAATAATTTTTAAATGTAATGACAAAAGATAAAACCAAGTTACATGATTTGGATGTTTGTCCCCTCCAAATCTCATATTGAAATGTGACCTCCAGGCCAGGTGCAGTGGCTCATGCCTGTAATACCCAACACTTTGGGAGTCTGAGGTAGGAGGATCTCTTGAGGCCAGGAGTTTGAGATCAGCCTGGGCAACATAGCAAGACTCCATCTCTTAAAAAAAGAAATGTTGGAGGTGGATCCTAGTGGGAGGTCTTGGAATCATGGGGGCAGATCGCTCATGAATGACTTAGGGCCATCCCTTTGCTGATGAGTGAGTTCTCACTCAGTTCATGGGAGATCTGGTTGTTTAAAAGAGCCGGGACCTCCCCATTTCTCCATCTCTCTTGCTGCTGCTCTCGCCATGTGACGTGCCTGCTCTCCTTTTGTTTTCCACCATGATTGGAAGCTTCCTGAGACCCTCGCCAAAAACAGATGCTGGAGCCATGCTTGTACAGCCTGCAGAACTGTGAGCAAATTAAACCTCCTTTATAAATTACCCAGTCTCAGGTATTACTTTATAGCAACACAAAAACGGACTAACACACCAGGTTAGAGAAGCGTTGAGAAACACTACTATTGATTTCAAAAATTAATAGCAGTTGGCCACGCGTGGTGGCTCATGCCTGTAACCCTAGCACTTTGGGAGGCCAAGGCGGGCGGATCACGAGGTCAGGAGTCCGAGACCAGCCTGGACAACATGGTGAAACCCCATCTCTACTGAAAATACAAAAATTAGCCAGGCATGGTGGCATATGCCTGTAATCCCAGCTACTCTGGAGGCTGAGACAGGAGAATCGCTTGAACTCGGGAAGTAGAGGTTGCAGTGAGCCAAGATCGCCCCATTGCACTCCAGCCTGGGTGACAGCGAGACTCTGTCTGTAATAATAATAATAATAATAATAATAGCAGTTATTTCAGCATGAATAACTGCCAGCAGTAAATCATTATTGTAGGGGAGTAGGATAGTTTCACAACTGAAATCATTCCGTAAAAGGCTCAGTTCTCATATGCTTTTTTGTTTTGGTTTGGTTTTTTTTACAGTTATCTCACTAAATATTCACTTAAAATAGACATCATCCATATTGTCTGCATAGCTTTGGCAGGACTTTGAGGCAGAAGGACTTGATAAGGCATACTGACCTTGAATTAAATTTGCATCTTCCACAGGCAGCCTGCCCAGTTGTAAAGATTGAGCCTTCCAGGCGTGTTCTCTAATAATAGATCTAGGAAGCCCTAACAGGAGCAGAAGCATTTGGAGGGCATCTCTTTCTCTAACCAACTCTCCCTGGAAGGGCTTACCCTCTTTTCCTCTGAATCTATTAAGAAAAAACGTCACACCAAAGAAAAACATCTAATTTATTCGCTTCATAATGTATATTCTAAACATTTATTCAGAAATGTGCTACTGTTCATATGTGAAGTGGCTGACCAAAATACATATTTAGAATTGTTTTCTTCTGCTCTTGATATATTCCTTTTTTATATCCTGTTTTCCTTGTGACTAAAAGCAGATGTTTTTAGAAGGCAGCTGGCTAGAATTAGGAATGCAGCCTGTAATTTAAGAAGTAACCTATTTAAAGGTTTTTGATTGGGTATAGAGAGTTCAAGAAACTAATTGGACTGTCTTGTGTTACTAGAAAATGTTTTATGGTAGCTAGTATTTTTTTTCACTTTTTTTCCATTGAGAGTTCCATTCCCATAACTTATATATTTCACTGATAGTAAACTTTATTGGACCATGTCTAATAATAAAAACAGGGAAATGGAAACTTTTTGTGAATTTCTTGGTTCACATTTTGCTAACAGAGGAAAAACTTTGTTATAATGCCGAATTATTCTTTAAGGAGCAAAGTATGTTCTGTATCTAAAGGAATGTTTATCCTCGGGGGCTCAAGGCATGTACAGAAGAGTTTTTGTTTAGGTTTGCCAACTAAAACATGGTATACTCTTCTGTCATTTGGGACAAGTTAATAGATTTACTTTACTTCTGTCTCTTTTTTTTTTTTTTTTTTTTTTTGAGACGGAGTCTTGCTCTGTTGCCCAGGCTGGAGTACAGTGGTGCGATCTCGGCTCATTACAACCTCCGCCTCCCAGGTTCAAGTAATTCTCCTGCCTCAGCCTCCCAAGTAGCTGGAACTACAGGCGTCCGCCACCACGCCCAGCTAATTTTGTTTTGTAATTTTTGTAGAAACGGGGTTTCACCATATTGGTCAGGCTGGTCTCGAACTCCTCACCTCAGGTGATCCACCCGCCTCTGCTCCCAAAGTGGCTACAGGCGTGAGCTACTGCACCCGGCCGATTTACTTTACTTCTATTCATAACGGTCTTTTTTTTTTTTAACAGCCTTTTTGAGATACTGTTCATATACTAGATGAACTATATAAAATGTACACCCATTTAAAATGTACAATTCAGTGAATTTTAGTATATTCACAGTTGTGAAGCCATCATTACCACAGTCAATTTTAGGATATTTTCATCACCCTAGAGAGAAGCCCATACCCATTAGCAATCACTTCCCATATCTTCCCAAACTTCCAGTCATAGAACCACGAATCTACTTTCCGTCTGTGTAGCCTATTCTGGGCATTTCATATAAATGGAATCATGTAATATGTGGTCTTTTGTGATTGGCTTCTTTCACCTGGCATAATGTTTTCAAGGTTCATTCCTGTGGTAGCATGCATCAAATACCTCATTCCTTTTTACTGAGAAATCATATTGCGTTTCATGGATAATACCACATTTTATTTATCCAGTAATCAGTTGATAAACATGTAGTTGTTTCTACTTTTTGGCTATTACAAGTAATGCTGCCGTGAACATTAATTACAAGTTTTTATGTGGCTATATATTTTCATTTCTCTTGGGCATATGCCTAGAAATAAAATTGCTAGGTCATATGGTAACTTTAGGTTTAACTTTTGGAGGAACTGCCAAACTGTTTTCCAAGGCAGCTGTAACATGATACATTCCCACCAGTAATGTATTCGAGTTCTAATTTCTCCACATCCTAACACTTGTTATTATCTGTCTTTTTGATTATAGTCATCTGAGTAGGTGTGACATGATAGATAATGGTGGTTTTAATTTGCGTATCTTCTTAGAAGAAATACTTTTTTTTAGATCCTTTGCCCATTTTTTAGTAGGGTTATGTGTCTCGTTGAGTTCTAAGAGTTCTTATATGTATTCTACATATAAGTCCCTTGTCGGTATATGACTTGCCAAAATTTTCTCCCAGGCTGTGGTTTCCCTTTTCACTTTCTTGATAGTGTTCTTCAAAGCACTAAAGTTTTAAATTCTGCTTTCATCAATTTTTTTCTTTTGTTGCTTTTGCTTTTGGTGTCATATCTATGAAGCCATTGCGTAATCCAAGATCATGAAGATATGCTTCTCTTCCAAGAGTTTATAATTTAAGCTCTTGCATTTAGGTCTTTGATCCATTAAATTAATTTTTATATATGGCATGAGGTAGAAGACCAGCTTCATTCATTTGCATGTGGATTTCCAGTTGTCTCAGTTCTATTTGTTGAAAAGACTCTTCTTTTCCCACTGAATTGTCTTGGCACCTTTGTTAAAGATCAGTTGGCCATCATTATAGGGGCTTATTTCTGAACTCTGAATTCTGTTTCATTGATCTGTATGTCTATCTTTATGCCAGTAATACACTGTCTTGATTACTGTAGCTCTGTGCTAAATGTTGAAATCAGGAAGTCTGAGTCCTATAACTTTTTCAAGATTGTTTTAGCTATTCTAGGTCTCTTGAATTTCCATATGAATTTTTAAATTTGTCAATTTCTGCAAAAAATGGCAGCTGAGATTTTGACAAGAATGGCAGTGAATCTTCAGGTCAACTTGGGAGAGTATTACCATCCTAACAGTATTAAATCTTCCAGTTCACAAGCGTGGAATGTCTTTCCATTTATTTAGGTCTTCTTTAATTTTTTTCAACAATGTTTTGTAGTTTTCAGATACAGTTTATGAACTTCTTAAATGTATCCATAAGTTTATTTTTTATGTAACTGTAAATGGAATTTTCTTAATTTCATTTTTTGAGTGCTTATTGCTAGTGTATAGAAATACAATCAATTTTTTTTTTGAGACAGAGTCTTGCTCTGTCTCCCAGGCTGGAGTGCAGTGGCGCGATCTCAGCTCACTGCAAGCTCCACCTCCCTGGTTCAGGCCATTCTCCTGCCTCAGCCTCCCGAGCAGCTGAAACTACAGGTGCCTGCCACCACACCCGGCTCATTTTTTGTATTTTCAGTAGAGACAGGGTTTCACCGTGCTAGCCAGGGTGGTCTCAATCTCCTGACCTCCGTGATCCGCCCGCCTCAGCCTCCCAAAGTGCTGGGATTACAGGTGTGAGCCACCGCGCCTGGCCTACAATCGATTTTTATATATTGATCTTGTACCCTGCAATGTTTTTAACTTATCTATTAGTTTTAGTAATTTTTTAGTGGATTCCTTATGATTTTCCTGTATATAATATCATATCATCTGCAAAATGAGATAATTTTACTTCTTTTTTTCCAGTTTGAATGCCTTTAATTTTTCCTTCTTCAGTAATTGCCCTGGCTGGAATCTCCAGCACAGTGTTTAACAGAAGTGGCAAGAGCAGACACTCTTATCTTATTTTTTATTTTAAAGGGAAAGCATTCAGTCTTTCACCGTTAAGTATGATATTAGCTGTGAGGTTTTTCATAGATGTTCTTTATCAGCTTAGGGAAATTTCCATCTATTCCTAGTTTATTGAATAGATTTTAAAAATATATACAATGTATATTTTATATATTGTATAAAATATATATTATATATATTTTATATATATATATCATGAAAGGGTATTGGATTTTGTCCAGTGCTTTTCTTTGTCTATTGGGATGATCATGGGGATTTTGTCCTTTATATGGTATATTACATTAATTTTTTTTTTTTTTTTTTAAGATTAAGCCCACCTTCCATTCCAGGGATAAATCCCACTGGGTCATGTTATATAATCCTTGAGTCTGTTTTCATAATAGATATTAGTCTCTGTTTCTTGTGATGTCTTTGTTTTGGTATCAGGTTTATCTGGCCTCATAGAATGAGTTGGGAAGTGTTCCCCTTTCTTCTGTATTTTGGAAGAGCTTCTGAAGAATTGGTATTGATTCTTGTTTAATTTAGTAGAATTTGCCAGTGAAGTCCCCTGGTCCTGGGCTTTTCTTTGTGGGTAGTGTTTAAATTACTAGTTCATTCTTTTCTCATTAGAGGTTATTTAGATTTTCTGTATCTTCTTGAGTCAGTTTTGGTAGCTTGTGAATTTGTCCATTTCATCTCAGTTATATAATTTGTTGGCATACAGTTGTTCTTAGTCTTCCTTGGAATCCTTTTCATTTCCATTAGGTTGGTAGAGATGTCTCTTCATAGATTTTTAACCAGTAAATAGATCGCTACTTTAACTTTACAAAGAAATTAACTCTTCAACTTCTGGGGGTCCTTTCTGAGGATAGAAAATATAAGGAAATGTGAAAAACAAAGAACTACTGAGTTCATCATTATTATTGCTAACAATGAATAAGCAACGTCAACATTAATTTTTGCCTTGCACAGAATATTGAAACAGAGCCTTCAAAAAAATAACAGTAATGAGTCTGGGCACAGTACTGGGCATGGCTCACACCTGTAATCCCAGCACTTGTGGAGGCCAAGGTGGGAGGATTGCTTGAGGCCAGGAGTTCAAGACAAGCTTGGGCAACATAGCGAGACCCTGCATCCACAAAAATAAAAGTTAAAAAATTAGCCTGGCATGGTGGTGCATGCCTCTAGTCCCAGTTTCTCAGGCGGCTGAGTTAGGAGGATTGCTTCAGCCCAGGGGTTTGAGGAGGCAGTGAGCTATGATCGTACCACTGCACTCCAGCCTAGGCGACAGAGTGAGACCCTGTCTCTAAAAAAATAACAGTAATAATGATGATGATGTTAGGAGTGAGGGGTGGACTTACACTGTTTAATACTGTCCAAAGGAATATATCTCTAGGTTTAGAAATCATTTTCCTAGCAACTTGTGGGCTTTGTATAATCTTGAGCAGGAACAGTTGACCTGATAGTTCAACTTTCTATCTGAGAGTGGAGGTAACAGTACCACTTGCAAAGCAAGCAGATACTCATTTTCATTGTACTGTCTCAGCATTTCTTTAGAAACTTTATTTAGGCCACATCTCATTATAGTGAATTCCAAACTACTGACCACATTTGTGGATGGAATATTTCTCTTGCTTTTAAGTTTCTTTTTACAGTTTTCCCCTTTATAAAATGTGTCAAAATATACCTTTATTTTTTAGAATGTAAAATCTTGAATACAAGGAATTTTCAGACTGAAGAAGTATAGTACTCAGGCAACATATAGGAGTTCTAAGCATGGAATCCCCAAGCATAGAAGAAATTATTTTCATTTGTGAAAAGGCAGAGAATAAAAGATTTCTGAGTTTAGGATGCCCACTCTGATAAGTTCATTCTCATCCTAATTCTTTACCAAAAGTCAACATTCGGGCATAACTCTTTTTCATGAATATCTTTCCCATTTTTTAATAAAACCTTTGGGTTCCTGTTATGGAAATTTACAATAAATCACTTTCAGAAGGCTATTTACTGCTCAACTGAAGAGATTGTTAAAATTAAGTGATATTGAACATAAAATGGAAATGTTCCATTTACTAAGCATTTAAAACCTTTTGATTATTGTAGCCAAACCATTATGTATACATCTCTTTTTGGATAATATTCTATATTTTGAAAAAGAAGCTGTGCTGCAAGAAGAGAATAGCCCACTTTAAAATAGAGCCGCCTGCATCCGGAACAGAAACCTTTTGGTGCTGTCGTTAAGGAAATCAACAGTATACAGACCAAATTATTGGTTGCAAACTGTATAAACAATGGGATTTCTCAATTGGAAAAGGCAATTTAAGTCCTAGAAGTTGGCTGCCAAGGAAACCACTACGTGGAGAAAGCCTAACAAAATTTTTATGTGAACTGGCGTGATACCTTGCAGTATTTTCCACTCTTTTTCTCTTTTTTTCTTTTTTTTTGAGACAGGGTCTCACTCAGTCGCTCAGGCTGGAGTGCAGTGTCACAATCACAGCTCACTGAAGCCTCGACCTCCTGGGCTCAGGTAATCAATCCTCCCATGTCAGCCTCCTGGGTAGCTGGGACTACAGGCACGCACCACCACTTCCAGCTAACTTTTTGTATTTTGTAGAAATGGGGTTTCACCATGTTGCCCAGGCTGGTCTTTTTCTGTGAAAAGGGGGAGAAAGTAAGAGGATAGCAAGAAACTTAGAAATGCATCTCTTGTAAGGAGGCGAGGACTAGATTATTCTCTTTAGTTCCCCCAAATTTTTTATTGTGAAATTTTTTAAACCTTCCCAAAAAGTTGAAGGAAGAGTACAATCTGTATATACCCTTCATTCAGATGTACCAGTTTTTAACCTTTTGCTACATTTACTTTCTCTCACACCCGTCCTACACTCTGTCACACACAGATCACATAGAAAGTAAGTCACAAACATAGCAGTTCATCCCTAAATACTTTAGTATGTATTTCCCAAGAAGACATTTTCTGGCTTGGCGTGTTGGCTCACGCCTGTAATCCCAGCACTTTGGGAGGCCAAGGAGGGTGGATCACTTGAGGCCAGGAGTTTGAGACCAATCTGGCCAACATGCCAAAACCCCATCTCTACTAAAAATACAAAAATTATCCAGGTATTTCAGCACAAGCCTGTAATCCCCCTTGCATGGCTGAGGCACAAGAATCGCTCGAACCTGGGAGGTGGAGGTTGCAGTGAGCCCAGATTGCGCCACTGCACTCCATCCTGGGTGACAGAGTGAGAGACTCTATCTCAAAAAAAAAAAAAAAAAAAAAAAAAAGACATTTTCTACCTAACCATAGTGCTGTTATCACACCCAAGAAGTTTTTAATTGATGTAGTATTATTGAATATATAGTCTATATTCATGTTTTCCCCAATTGTTCCAATAATGGTTCTTTTTAGCCTTTTTTTTTTTTTTTTAAACAAAAAATCTAGGATCCAGTCGAGGTTCATTCACTTCCTTTAATTGCCGTAAGAGTAGCCCACCCTTCCTCTGCCTTCTTTTGACTTTGCTAACACTGATATTTTTTTAAAAACCAAGCCATCCATGGCCAGGCACAGTGGCTCATGTCTGTAACCCCAGCACTTTGGGAGGCCAAGGCAAGTGGATTGCTTGAGCCTAGGAGTTCGAGACCAGCCTGGACAACATGATGAAACCCTGTCTGTATAAAAAATAGCTGGGCATGGTGGCATGTGCCTGGAGTCCCAGCTACTCAGGAAACTGAGGTGGGAGAATGGCTTGAGCCCTGCCTGCAGTGAACCGAGATCAGGCCACTGCACTCCAGCCTGGGCAACAGAGCCAAACCCTGTCTCAAAAAAAAAAAAAGACCAGGCCAGTTTTCTTGTAGAATGTCTCATAGTCCAGACTTACCTGATTTTTCCTTATGGTTGTCTTCTGGTTTAACACATTTGACAGGAAAACTAACAAAGCAAATGTAGCTTTTGTATTTCGTCACATCCAAAGGCACATAATATCAATTGGTCCAACTATTAATGATGCTCAGTTCAATCACTTAGTATTGATAAGGTGATATACACCATATTTTTCCATTGCAAAGATATCTTTTTTCTTTGTTATTTAGGAAAAATAGTGGGGGTTGGCAAGTGACATTGGTGCAACAAATGGGGAGAAATGGCAGGGGAGAAGGAGGTGATACTTTGAGACATTGTGTATATCATTCTTAAACAGCCTTTCTTCTAATGGTTTTATCATCCATGATCTTTGCCTGACTCAACTGGTGGCAACAAAATGGTGATTGCCTAATTTTGCCCTTTCGTCTACTTGTACTAGCTGGCTGGCTTCTATTAAAAAAAGAGCTTTCCTCCTTTTACTTTTTTTTTTTTTTTTTAAGTATTACCATGGACTCTGAGATAGTCTTTTTATTCAATATGCTATAGTCCATTATCATTATTCTTTTTGATGTTCACCTTTTCCCATGGTTGACTAATGAAAACTGCTTTAGGCCAGCTTCTCTATAATCTTGACATGTGGCCATCATTCTTTGAGCAAGTCTCACCTTACACATTTTTGCCCTAACTTTGAATCAACCATTTCTCCAGAGTCCTGATTCCTTTTAGGAAGAGAAACCAAGATCTGGACAGTATGTTCATTGCTTCTACTTCAGTGGGCAAGCTAGGTAATAATATATATTCTTTATGAGTTTATACAGATGCTTCCCGTTACGATCCAGTACCACGGGCTTCTTCCATTCCATTTCCTCTTCTGTGTTTTTTATCTCCCTCTACTACCCTGACAACTCTGGTTCCCACCATCAGTATATGTACTCACTTGCTCTCTACTAGAGCATAGCAGTCCCCAACCTTTTTGGCATCAGGGACTAGTTTCGTGGAAGATGATTTTGCCATGGACCTGGGGCGGGGGAGGGAGGATGGTTTCAAGATGAAACTGTTCCACCTCAGATCATCAGGCATTTGTTAGATTCTCATAAGGAACGCACAACCTAGATCTCTTGCATCCACAGCTGCCCACCTCTTGGTACATACACGTCCTGTAGTACATACAAATAGTTTTGGAATTACACCAGTACCACTATGAACAACACGTCTCAGTTTGAGATTTCTTTGCACTTCATTTTGTCCTTAGTATATATCTCAGTAAGGGTATATAGACAGAATACTGTATTCAGAAGTTAATTTCTTTTTTATTATCTGTGTGATTATCAATTTGATACACAACTAGGTTCATTTGTTTTTGTTTGACTTCGGTTTTGAGGTGTACTTCTGTTTCCAGAATTGGTTCCTTCCGGTGGGTTCTTGGTCTCACTGACTTCAAGAATGAAGCCGCAGACCCTCGTGGTGAGTGTTAAGTTCTTAAAGATGGTGTGTCTGGAGTTTGTTCCTTCAGATGTTCAGATGTGTCCAGAGTTTCTTCCTTCCAGTGGGTTCGTGGTCTCGCTGACTTCAGGAATGAAGCTGCAGACCCTTGTGGTCAGTGTTACAGCTCATAAAGGTAGTGCAGACCCAAAGAGTGAGCAGCAGCAAGATTTACTGTGAAGAGCAAAAGAACAAAGCTTCCACAGCGTGGAAGGGGACCTGAGCAGGTTGTGGCTGCTGGCTTGGGTGGCCAGCTTTTAGTCCCTTATTTGGCCACACCCGCATCCCACTGATTGGTCCATTTTACAGAGTGCTGATTGGTCTGTTTTTTACAGAGCGCTGATGGGTGCATTTTTACAGAGTGCTGATTGGTGCATTTACAATCCTCTAGCTAGACAGAAAAGTTCTCCAAGTCCCCACCTGACCCAGGAAGTCCAGCTGGCTTCACTTCTCACTTCTTTTTCTATTTCAAAGTTTAACTTTGTGAAAAACATTTACATCGTTCAAATGTCAAAACTATATATGAAAAGATATCCCAGGAAGTCTCCTATCTCTTTCCCTTTCATCCACCTCTGGTAGGTAACTATTTTCATAATTTTCTGGTTTTTTCTTCTTTTTCTTTTTTGTAAAAAAATAGATATTTGCATATGACAGGGATCTTACACAAACTTTTTCTGTAAATAACCAGATAGTAAATATTTTGGTTATCTATCACACTCAACTCTGCCATTGTGGCATAAAAGCCACGCAGACAATTTGCAAACAAATGAGCGTGGCTGTGTTCCAATAAAACGTTATTTGCAAAGACAGGCGGGGGGCCAGATTGGTCTGCAGGAGTTGTTTGCTGGCTGTAAGATGTAGATACAGACATTCTCATACAAAAGCATGTATATAGTGTGTTGTCAAAAAAAAAAAAAAAACTCAGTGATATTTGTTAAAGCACAGTAAGGCAAACTCTTTTCAAGACCATTGTGATAGGTAGAGGGGCCATGGCAATGGGATTTTGCAGTGGAGTAGAGAAACTGTGTTCAACTCCAAACACAGCATGGGCAAATGGGAATTTGCAGCCAGGGAGCAGGGTGGAGGGTCAGTGGATGGAAAATTTCTAAGAGGAAACATTAGGGATCCAGGGGGGTTCTGGCTAAACCAACCTAACACATTTCCTAGTGAAGATCTGGCATCACCAGGGGGATGGTGGAGGATGAGGAACCTGACCAGATATGGAGGTGATCAGATAGCAAGGGTTGGGGGTTCTTGCTGAACTGAATTAGCAAGATTCTTTGCTAAAACCTGATTTTACAAGTACGTGTACACATGGGCCTAGGAGAAGGTTCAGGAGTCTAAGTCTTTGCCATATATTATTACTTTTTTCTTTTTTTGAGACAGAGTCTCGCTCTGTCGCCCAGGCTGGAGTGCAGTGGCGTGATCTCGGCTCACTGCAAGCTCCGCCTCCCAGGTTCATGCCATTCTCCTGCCTCAGCCTCCTGAGTAGCTGGGACTACAAGTGCCCGCCATCACACCCGGCTAATTTTTTGTATTTTCAGTAGAGACAGGGTTTCACCATGTTAGCCAGGGTGGTCTTGATCTCCTGACCTTGTGATCCGCCCACCTCAGCCTCCCAAAGTGCTGGGATTACAGGCGTGAGCCACCGCGCCCAGCCTTTTGCCATATATTACTTTGCAACTTGCTTTTGTTTCCCTAACAAATATATCCTGGAAATTACTTCCTCTTCCTCTTAGTTCCTTAAGAGCATCACACCTGCCCCAACACTTTTTGAATTTTTTTTTAGAGACAGGGTCTCACTTTGTTGCCCTGGCTGGAGTGCAGTGGTGTGATCATAGCTCACTGCAACCTCAAACTCCCGGGCTCAGTTCTCCCACCTCAGCCTCCCAAGTAGCTAGGACCACGGGTACCTGGCTAATTTTTTTTTTTTTTTAAGAGATTGGGTCTCCCTGTGTTGCCTAGGGGGGTCTTGAACTCCTGGCCTCAAGCTGTCCTCCCGCCTCAACCTCCCAAAGTACTGGAATTACAGGTGTGAGCCACCACACTGAGCCCTTCCCCTCTTTTTATGGCTAAAGAGTATTCCATTATATAGATATATCATAGTTTATGTAACTAGGACCCTATAAATGAACATTTAGGCTGTTGTCAACATTTTACTAACATAAATAATACTGCAGTTAATAGTCTTATGCTTATGGTTTTTTATATGTGCAACCTATTCTTTTACTATAGTATAAAGATTCAAATAAATAAAAACCTGTTAAACTAAGATAATAGCATTTTACTTTAAAATAACATTTTTAACTATAAAAGTAATACTCTTTATCAAATTTAGAAGAACAAACAATCCTGAATGTATGGAGCTAAAACTGAAAGTATTGCATTTTAGTCCTCCACTCCCACCCTAGCCACGTGTACTCCTCTCGGCCAAATTGTTAACAGTTGAACACAGGTGCTTCAGACCTTTCTTTTGTTGCAATTGGTGGTAGTTTGATTTTGTCATCCCATACTTAACATGTAAGTATATCCTCAGGCTAACTTATTTTTCAAAAATGTGATCATGCTACACATATTATGACTTGATCTTTTTATTTTATGTGGTTTTTAAATATCTATCGAGTTACCTCATTCTTTTTTCTTTTTTAAAAAAAAAATCTCAGCTAATTTTCCCAAG
This sequence comes from Homo sapiens, assembly GCF_000001405.40. Lineage (NCBI taxonomy): Eukaryota > Metazoa > Chordata > Mammalia > Primates > Hominidae > Homo > Homo sapiens. Next base: position 244,684,628 of record NC_000001.11, read on the forward strand.
TCAACCTTATTCTTTTTTTGATTGATAGTTTATAATATGAATGTACCATAATTAGCCATTTCTCTATTGATATTTAGACTTCAGTTTTTCAGTACTTGTAGACAACTACAGTTAATATCCTGGGACATGGCTTTGCATATGTACTAGTATTTCTATAGAATAGATTCCAGAAGGTGAAATGGTTAAGTCACTTTCATTGATTTTCACAAGTATACTCATATCTGAACTTTTGCTGCCCAAACTCTGGGATTAAATAGATTTGGGTAAATGTTTTGAAGAATCCTTACTGTATGTAATCTTACTACTCTCCTTCCAAAATCAAATTGATTCACATAAAAAAATGTAGCCTTCGTTTCCTAACTTGCCATCCAAATTCTGGCTCTCCAAAATCAGGAACTCAAAAAATTCCGATCAAGAGGGATACTTATATTCTCATATGAATCTTTGTTATATCCACACAGATTCTCTCTTTTTGCATATTATTTATCTTTTTATCTTGTTTTTATGTAGTTTTATAAAATAAAAAGTTGTACATTTTTATGTAGAATATCTGTTGATATTTTCCTCTGTAAATTCTAGGATTTTACTTTACTTAGGTTGTCTTTTCCCACCTAAAATTTTTAAAACTCTATTCCCTTCTATCCATATATAGTTATTTTTAGACACACTAGAATTTTTATACATGAAATTTATGCATAATCAATTTTGTCAACATGCTTTTAGTAAGTCATACTTTGTCATTAATTTTAAATATCTCCTTTATCATATATCAAATTCTTATATATACAAGGGTCTGTACCAGGATCTGTTCCTGCAACAATGCCATATTGTTTTAATGAATATTTCAATTTCTAGATGGGAAAATTCCTTGTTTTCATATATTTATTTATGATTGCTTAATTCTTCTTCCAGGTACGTTTTATTTTATTTTTATCCACGCTCGGCCCCAGGTACATTTTAGAAAAAAACACAACTGACTTGTTCATTTATGCTTCTTCCAGCAATGCGTGAGAATGTGTGTAGGTCTGAGAAAGACTGGCTAGGGGTCTGGAGCCAAGGTTAAGACTTGAATAAACCTAGAACAATTAAAGATAAATTATCTGTCCCCTAACCTGGGAGACATCCAATAGGTTTGTAACACTTTTGAGTGTTACCTAAGTGTTTTGTTTAGTGAGCTCTTAACTCATTTACCTTTTTCTCAGTTTAACCCCCTCCACTTCACCTTTTTAACCCCTTTCACAGTCATTTCCTGTAATTTCTTATCATATAACCTATGTACATCCTCTTCCCTCTTCCTGGCATTTCTGTCCATCCCCATGGGCCCCATGGCCCAGTTTTCTTACTGGGAAATCTGATTTGTTCCTAAAGACTCAGTTCAGATATTACTTTTCTGGGAGGTTTTTATTCATGCTAATGGTAAGAAGTAAGAATGTTGTTCTAACCTTTGTGCATTGTTTATTCTTATATTATTACCATTATCAAACTTTGAGCTGAATCAGGACACATGATACATGCCGTAAATGTTTGTTGAAAAAGAATAAAATATTTCTGCTTTCAGGGAGCTCACCAAAGAATAAGAAGAAAAGCTTAGGATAGGAGAAAAATAGATATGAAAGCACACTCTGTGTGTGTGTGTGTATGTGTGTGTGTGTGTGTGTAAGTCACTAACAGCAGAGCTCTTATATAATCTCTCCCCCCACCGCCCCACAAACTGATCAAGCTTTTAATTGTATTGCTTCCCCTAGAAGCCTTAGATAATGTGCTTATACTCAAATCGCGACAATTATTTTGACCCAGGAAGGCATTCCAGATGTGGTACAGGCAAAGGCACAGAGCCACAGAGACAGGACCACTGGATCGTTATCATGGGAGTTTCAGAGTGAAAGACTGGGGAGCAGTCACTTCTGTAGCGCGGAGTTGGGTTGTAAATGAACAGGTATTCTGAATCTTTTCTTTCTTTTTTTCTCAGTATTGGATGAACGAATATACCTCATCCATTGGAATTGGAGTTTTTCATTCAGGAATTGAAGTCTATGGCAGAGGTACGTGTACACACAGTCTAAATATACTCTCTGAAGATTTTGTACTTTAAAAGAGTTGCAAAATCATAACTATAGGTCTCTCTTTTTTTAACCACTTGCATATGTTATTACAGAAAGTAGAAGAAAATCTCCCCATATTCATTTATACTGCGTTTTGGAAAAATGCCCAAAGTAGAATGTATTTGGGGAGAAAGTACTCAAAATACAAGAATATACATTTGCTTCATTCACTTTATCTTTTATTCTAAATACTATGTTTTAAAAAATATTTTCCTTTTGTGATTGTCATAAAATGACAGTTTGTTTTGTTCTCATATATATTGGAGCTCCTAAGAAACCTTGCATTTCGAAAATAGCATGATAAAAACAATAATTTTGGTCGGAAAGGTTGGTGCTAGAAAGTGTCAGACTTGAAATACCAATTTCCTGAGGGAATTTCAGTAATAAATTTGGTTTGTAGACCTATACGTCTTATAAAATCTATAAGTTTTTGAAGTCTAAAAACATTGCTGAGCAAATCCTGCCATGATTACATCTAATCATGCCCTTTGTCATTAACTCAGCCCTTTTCATTCTCCTTATTAAAACCCTTTATTAGGATAAACATGTCAGGAGTCACTCAAACCAAGCAGCTGTGTTTTCAACAGTTTTTTTCCACTGTGCTAATTCCTACTCTTGATGCAAGATAATCTACCCCTGATCAAGTTGTAACTAATAGTAATGGTCTGCGTAAGACAGATCACATTGCTGATTTCATTCAATGTATCATTTTGAATTATAAACTAACCCTATAGCAGAAATGCCTTTGTTCGCTTCAGCTAGGCAGTCTTTGTGACCTCTTAAGAATATATTATTGCAGTTTACTGAGGGTTACCCCTGAACACTATACACCAGTTTTAACCAATACAAAGAAAAGACTCATTTACTTAAATGTGTCAGTATGGTGGTTATACTCTTTTTTATATTCCATTTTACCTGCTTCCAGGTGAAGTTTAGCATATTAAATGTTGGCTATAAAAATCTGCCATTTAAGCTCTATTTTACTTGAAAGTCTGCATCTACCAAATAATCCCAGGAAATACTGAGGGGCTCTTGCTGGAAGTTTCATGCTTGGGAGTATTGCTGTGGGTGGGATCATAGTCTGTGGGGTTACTCTTTTGGCTGATTTGGCTTTTGCCAAATTTGCATGTGTATTTCTTGAATTTGTGTGATGTGTTACTGTTCTTAAAATGCCATCAAGTTTTGAACCACATGATCATGGTGGGTTAGGTAAGGGCAGGTGCCATCTTCTCCATTTTTCAGCTGAAGAAACTGAGGCCCAAACCTGCTGGAAGTCATCATGCTAATAATTAACTCAAACTTGAACCCAAATGTTCTTGTATGCTAGTCCGTGGCTCTATTATCTCCCTAATCATTGCTCCCCTTCATAAAATTATTTAGTAATAATTAGAAACATGTTTCAAAACATGTTCATGTAAATTTAGTAAAGCTAGAATCAAATATTAATATATTCCTGAAAATTAGTGATTGCTTTTTAAATAAAAGAATGGGTCTGTGACTTTCCGTACTATAATTGAGAAAGTTAAGAATCCAAATATAATCTTATCCCTTCCAACCTGATAATCTACAATATTTTGTAAAATTTTGTCACTAAAAAACTTTAAAAATTATGTTTCAAAATAGCCACTTTATTTCTCAAACTACATCATTGCTTTTTTTGAACAGGTCTGAATTAAAAGTAAATTTAGTATCTGCCTGTTCTTTCCTGTGCTTTGTTCTAAGACCTTTTAAGGTATATTTTTAAAGTGATGAAGTTGATTTAAGCATGGTTTGGAATTCTTTAAATTTGTCTACTAAGACTTAGCCACTGAAATATCTAAGTGAAATAACAGAAAATTACAGGAATTTTTTATCTAAAATTATTCTCCATTTTGTTCTCCAGAGTTTGTATCTGATGTACATTTTGTATTGGATGTACAGTCAAAAAATAGTTTATCCTAGCTAAAAGACTTGCTGTGGTGATTGGATGGGAGGGTGGATGGGTATGTGTGTTAATTTGGCAGTTTATTTTTTTCTTACATGAAGAGAATTGAGTAGTGTTTTAGGTTTGGTAATGTTCCACCCTACTCAAAGATAAACCAATAGTCTTTATCCCAGAAACCATGAAACTCACTGTTACTAGACAGTTTCTCCAGTAAGATATGTGTTTGAAATTGGATCACTTTAACTTAGAAAGTGGCAAAACACTGAACTGACCACCTGCCTAGACTGGCATGATATAGACAGGCAGAGAGAACTGTATATACCTCTGTGTGTTGATCACTCTCTTCCTGCCATGATAAGAAAGGGAAATATGGCAGGCAAGAATATCTTTGAGTGTCTTCTGTTATTTGAGTTTCGGGTCTTTTGTGACAACTGTTTATACGAGTAATAGCTAAGTGAGATATTTGTGAAAGCATTTTATAAACTGAAAAATATTTAGATGGTGTCACTGTTATCCTCAATTATTAAAGCTAATTCAGCATTCTGGTTAAATTTTATGTGATACATACTAAAAATCATGAGTTTTCTCTTTTCAGAATTTGCTTATGGTGGCCATCCTTACCCCTTTTCTGGAATATTTGAAATTTCCCCAGGAAATGCTTCTGAACTAGGAGAAACATTTAAATTTAAGTAAGTAGGGAGGATAATTTTTATTACACTGTCTTAGGTGCCATAGCTTGTTTTCAGGTATACAGAATTCATTCTGTAAATCAAAACAAACCCAAGAAGTTAAAAATGTCTCTTTGTTTTAATTGCTGACATTTTATATAACTCAAGTTTGCCTCAGGAAACTCATTTCTTTTCCTTTTTTTTTTGAGATGGAGTCTCACTCTGTCTCCCAGGCTGGAGAGAAGTGGCGTGATCTCAGCTCACTGCAGCGTCCGCCTTCTAGGTTCAAGCGATTCTCCTGCCTCAGGCTCCCAAGTAGCTGGGATTACAGGCGTGCACCACGACGTCCGGCTAATTTTTGTATTTTTAGTAGAGATGGAGTTTCGCCATGTTGGCCAGGCTAGTCTTGAACTCCTGACCTCAGGTGATCCACCTGCCTCGGCCTCCCAAAGTGCTGGGATTACAGGCGTGAGCCACCACGCCCAGCCCAGGAAACTCCTTTCTAATGATTTCTTCCCCTCAATCTCCTGTTTGAAAGGAGAAAAAGTTTTATTGTGACCTACCTAGCAAATTAAAAATGTCTTTATTGTCCCAATGAAAGGGACACTTTACACGTTTGAAATAATTAAACAGTTGATTAGCGTAGAATCCATTGTTAAGGTACATGTATTACATGTAATGATAAACCTAAAATATATGGATGTAAGTGTTCACTGGAGTCTTACGAGTAATAAAAAGCAGTGAGAATATAATTTTTTTTATTTATACTTTAAGTTCTAGGGTACATGTGCACAACGTGCAGGTTTGTTACATAGGTATCCATGTGTCATGTTGGTTTGCAGCACCCATGATCTCATCATTTACATTAGGTATTTCTCCTAATGCTATCCCTCCCCCAGGCTCCCACCCCGCGACAGGCCCTGGTGTGTGATGTTCCCCGCCCTGTGTCCAAGTGTTCTCATCGTTCAGTTCCCACCTATGAGTGAGAACATACGGTGTTTGGTTTTCTGTCCTTGTGATAGTTTGCTGAGAATGAGAATATAAATGTTAATAATAAAATTTTCATTCCTTAATTGAGGTTTGTATTTAAAGTGATATTTAGGGCCGGGTGCAGTGGCTCATGCCTGTAATCCCAGCACTTTGGGAGGCCAAGGCAGGCGGATCACCTGAGGTCAGGAGTTCGAGATCAGCCTGGGCAACACGGTGAAACCCCGTCTCTACTAAAAATATAAAATTAGCCAGGCATGGTGGTACATGCCTGTAATCCCAGCTACTCGGGAGGCTGAGGCAGGAGAATTGCTTGAACCTGGGAGGCAGAGGATGCGGTGAGCTGAGGTCGCGCCATTGCACTCCAGCCTGGGCAACAAGAGTAAATCTCCGTCTCACCAAAAAAAAAAAAAAAAAGTGATATTTAGAATGTGAGTTTCAAGGAGCTTTAAACTTCTGGGCCTATAATAGATGGCTTGCCAAGTGAAAAAGAGACAGTGAAATGAGGTTCCAACATTAAACTTCAGTAGAGAGCTACACATTAAGCCCTCTACTAAGTTCATAGTTCTCTTAGCCTATCACTGAATTGAAAGATTTTCGCACGTAAGTGCTATGATACCATCCTGAATCCACTCCTTCGGGCTCTCTTTTGGCAAGACTACTTGATAAAAGGATTTTCTAAGTATTTTCAGGTTCCTTGGATGCCTTTTATCTGACTAAAATTCCACTTTCTCTTGGATAATGTCTGTCGCCTTTCCAAGGTAGTAGTTTGGAGTCCTTTTAATTTTTGTTTGTTTAGAGATGGAGTCTTGCTCTGTCACCCTGGCTGGAGTACAGTGGTACGATCTCGGCTCACTGCAACCTCTGCCTCCTGCGTTCAAGCGATTCTTCCGCCTCAGCCTCCCAAGTAGCTGGGATTACAGGCACCTGCCATCATGCCCGACTAATTTTTGTATTGTTTTAGAGACGGGGGTTTCACCGTGTTGGCCAGGCTGGTCTCGAACTCCTGACCTCAGGTGATCTGCCCACCTCGGCCTCCCAAAGTGCTGGGATTACAGGCGTGAGCCGCCATACCCGGCCAGGGTCCTTCTTTTTAAAAAACGTTTAGTCAGATTTGACAGTTTGTCTCATTGCAGCACAGTGACAGATAACTTAAAAGTTTGTTTCTAGGTGACATTATGGCCAGCCCTTAAATGGCAAGTGAAATTACGCAGGAATATTTGCAGCATGGATCTGGTTCCCTAATAATATAACTGCTAATACAATAGTTGTGAAAATAACTGTAATATTACATGTTACATAAGGACATATATTTCATAAAGAAAATGACTTGTGCTTTTGTAGTATTCATAGGTAATATACTTAAGAGTTTATTGCAGAAAAGTAGAAACTAAAATAGGACTTTTAAAGTATCTTGTTTCACTTTTAGTCTTGTTATATTAACCCTGATTTGTTATGTCGATCATAATATTCCTGGAAATAAGCAAGTATTTAAACATGCTTTTTATAAATATTTGACACAACTATGTCCTTATTTTTCTTTCTCTTTTTTTTCTTTTTGTTCTTTAAGAGAAGCTGTTGTTTTAGGGAGCACGGACTTCCTAGAAGATGATATAGAAAAAATTGTAGAAGAACTGGGAAAAGAATACAAAGGCAATGCTTATCATTTAATGCATAAAAACTGCAATCATTTTTCTTCAGCTTTATCAGAGGTAAGCTAAATTTTATCCTAAAAGTTCTTCAAATAAATATTTGCTATCCCACTATACTTGATATCCCACTATATTCGATCTTGATTCACTTCTTTTCCGATTTTTTGTGTTGTATGAAATATGGTATTGTATTTCAATCTTGTATGAATGACCTTTCCAGAGTTGGTAACTTGAGAGTCCGCAGTTTTAAATGGTAATTCTATTCATTACTTTGCAGTGGGTAGAGAGTAAGTACAAATAATGGTCCCTTCTTACTCTATTTTATTATAACCTGAAACTTTCACTTTAAAAAAGTAAATGCCTAGAAACTTCTGCTTCTTAGCCACTAAGGTTTCTCTTTGGCTGAATTTTTTTTTCTGGCTCTTATTAATAAGTAATTCGTGTCTTCCATCTTGAAATTTTCTTCTGCTAACATAACACATAGGCACTTACTTGCCTTCTCAATTCTTGAATCCCAAGCAGAAGATCAAAACTAGGTCAAAATTAAAGAACTATAAAAAGAAAATGGAGGAAAGAAATTAGAAAGATTATAAAGTAAGGTCTAGGGAATTGGCACTTGAAGCAGCTTCCCAGCTTTCTGATTCTTAGCAGATGGTTACAGTGGCAGCGTCCAGGTGCCACAGAAACTGTGAAGGGTGTAAAGGAGAGAACGAGCTGCTGCTTCAGTGGCCTCCTCTGCAGAAATGCTTCGCTCCTTGGCCCTTTTTACTTCCCTCATGGCTTCTACAATACAGCTTTCAGACAACTCTCACAGACTGTTACCATGCTACTCAAAGTGTGTTTCATGGACCAGCAGCATCAGCATCTCCTAGTAATTTGTGAGATATGTATTATCTCTGCCCCACCAGAGATACACTGAATGCAAATCTTCACTTTAACAAGATCCCCAGATGACTCATATGAACGTGAAGGTTCAAGAAACACTCTAGTCTAGCGGATGCATCAGTACCGTAGAAGTGACCTAGTCAGTCTTCAGGCAGGGGGAAGGTAGTTCTGAGCTTTCTTGACCCCAGGCATTACATTTGTATGGAATGCTTTCAAAGATCTGTTGAGTGCTAAAATTAGTGGAGAAATAGACAGCATCCTAATCCACTCTATTTTTCAGACAAGGAAACAGACCCCAATTGGGAAAATGACTTATCAAAGAAGATTGTCATAGAGAATTCAGACTAGACCGGACTTCTTACTCCAGTGCTTATTATATTTTACCATTACTTCCTCTGGTTCTAATTCATCCTGTCCTTCAAAAACATTAAGAACGTTATTGAGCATCTATACCACCACATCAGCCCTGGTCTAACCCCAAAACCATTTTGCATTTGGGGCCCAAAGAGCAATTCTGGATGTCCCTGGAGCCATCTTTTTAGGCCACAGTTTTTATGCTTTTCCCCATATGAGTGCTGAATTGTTTGTTCTTTTTTTTTTTTGAGATGCAGTTTTGCTCTTTGTCACCCAGGCTGGAGTGCAGTGGGACCATCTTGGCTCACCACAACCTCTGCCTCCCAGGTTCAAGCGATTCTCCTGCCTCAGCCTCCCGAGTAGCTGGGACTATAGGCACCCGCCACCACGCCTGGCTAATTTCGTATTTTTAGTAGAGGCAGGGTTTCTCCATGTTGGTTAGGCTGGTCTCGAACTCCTGACCTCAAGTGATCCGCCCGCCTCAGCCTCCCAAAGTGCTGGGATTACAGGCGTGAGCCACGGCGCCCAGCCTAACGCTGAATTGTTAAGCTGGAAGACCCAGAAGTTAAGTGACTTGACCCAAGGTTACCTAGCCTGTTGGTGGCAGTGCTGGAACTAGAATTCTGGATAGTGAGGGATAAGGAGCTATTATAATAAAATATGGTATATATTCCATTAAATGGAAATACCAGCTCTTGCCGATTGTGAAATGTAAAAGCTACCTTTGGAATTTGAAATGATAGATGCAACTCCCATATAACGAAGACAAGCAAATTAATATTAGGCACTCTAATGAAGTTTAGTAAAACTGGTATGCTTTTATATCTTTGACAACATAGTGTGGGGACGTATGTCATAAGCAGTTGCAAATAAGCAAAATCATCACTATATTAATAATTGATTGTTGATATATGTACTTTTCTGTTAAATTGTTCTTAAAAATTCTAAGAATTATCATTTAACACCGTAATGTTATCAGTTCCGATGCTTCCTCTACAGCAGGGATTAGCAAACTACTATAGCCTGGCCTTTGAACCAACACCAGCGTGTCATCTGTCCTTGTACAGCCTGCAGGCTAAAATGGTTTTTACATTCTTTTTAAGGACTGAAAAAAGCCAAAAGAGTATTATATGGTGACATGTATAAATTATGTAAAGTTCAAACTTTAGTATTCATAAAATTTTTTTTTTTAAACCGGAACATCTATTGCATTACTCATCGTTGAAATTCTTAAGATGAACTGGATGCTGCAGCAGCTGCCCTCTTGGGTTTAGGTGGTGTTCCTTCACGGAATCTGTGCCTGAATCTGCGGTCTACAATTTTTAGGTGCCTCATTCGACCAGTCCCAGTGGTATTTTGTCTTTTAGCCTTGGCACTGCCGTTATACTTTCTCTTGCGCTTGGCGGGGTAGCCACATTTGCCACAGGTCAACTTCTGAAGGTGGTAGGCCTTAGAGCCACAGCAGTGGCACGTGTGCGTCTTATTGCGACGCTTTCCAAACGATGATGTTGCCTTCGTCACCTTGCTTCTGTGGCTAAGACCAGAGAGATTCATTAAGTTTTATTAGAACACAGCCATGCTTATTTGTTTACCTGTTTCCTTGACTGCTTTCCGGCTGCAGTGGCAGAGTTGAGTAGCTGCAGCAAAGATTTATGGCCTATAAAGCCCAAAATATTTATTGTTTGACCTTTAACAGAAAAAGTTTGCCAGCCTCTACTCTGCAAGATAGGTCCCTTCGAATTGGGTGCTAAGTGGCTTAAACATTGAGGAAACGTTATCTTACAAAACAAGTCCAGAATAAGGCAGGCTCCATTCCAATGTGGTCAGTGTCTCAACTGTGAGTGTCATAGGGATGTAAGGTCTTTATTCATTTCTCTAAGCTGCCATCCTTGGGATGTTGGCCCCACCGGCAGGCCAGCTCCCTTTATGGTTTCAGATAGAGGCAACAATTTTAACACAACCACCAGAGAAAGACCATGTCTCTCTCCCTTTGGAAACAGTGGAACTCTTTCTGGAACTCCCTTTTCCCTACCCTTCCAAAAGCAGCCATGTTTTACAGCCAGAATTGTGTCAGATGCCTAATTATGAACCTCTCACTAGCAAAAGGACTGGCATTACCATTACTAAATGCCACTCGTCTAATCTAAATGTCTTTTTAAAATTAATATTTTCGGCCAGGCATGGTGGCTCACACCTGTAATCCCAGCACTTTGGGAGGCCAAGGTCGGGGGATCACAAGGTCAAGAGATCAAGACCATCCTGGCCAACATGTTGAAACCTCATCTCTAACTAAAAATATAAAAATTAGCTGGGCGTGGTGGCGGGCACCTGTAATCCCAGCTACTCAGGAGGCTGAGGCAGGAGAATCACTTGAACCCAGGAGGCAGAGGTTGCAGTGAGCAGAGATGGTGCTGTTGCACTCCATCCTGGGCAACAGGAGCAAAACTCCATCTGAAAAAAATAAGTAAAATTACTATTTTCAGTAGAAAATTCAAAACATATAAAAGTAGAATAATATAATGAGCCCCTATATAACTGTAACTTAGATACCACTCCAGCCCCAAATTGTTTTGAAACAAATCCCAGATTTCATTTAGAGACAGGGTCTTGCTGTTGCCCCGGCTGGGGTGCAGTAATGTGATCATAGTTCATTGCAGCTGGGAACTCAGGCTCAAGTGAGCCTCCTGCCTCAGCCTCCCAAGTAGCTGGAGCTACAGGTACATGCCACTATGTACAGCTTTTGTATTTTTTGTGAAGATGGAGTTGCATTATATTGCCCAGGCTGGTCTGGAACTCCTGGACTCAAGCAATCCTCCCACCTCAGCCTCCCAAAATCCTGGGATTACCTGCATGAGCCACTGCACCTGGCCTAATTTCAATTATAAATATTTCACTCTGTATCTCTAAAAGATAAAGATTCTTTTTAACATAACCACATGATGTCATCACTCCTAAAATTAACTCCTAAAATTATGTTATCACTCCACAAATTAACACTATTTCTTAATATTATCCAAATAAACAACGTTCAGATTTCCCCAGTTGTCATAATTTTTTAACGGTTAGTTTGAATCCAAATCTAAACAAAAGTTCATACAGCTGGTCACCCTGAGATACATTCCCCATAGAAAAGGCAAGATAGCTGGGCACAGTGGCTCACGCCTGTAATCCCAGTACTTTGGGAGGCTGAGGCGGGTAGGTTGCTTGAGCACACAAGTTCAAGACGAGCTTGGGCAACATGGCAAAACCCCATCTACAAAAAATACAAAAATTAGCTAGGCACGGTGGTGTGTGCCTGTAGTCCCAGCTGCTTGGGAGGCTGAGGTAGGAGGATGGCTTAAGCCCAGGAGGCAGAGGTTGCAGTGAACCAAGATGGTACCACTGCACTCCAGCCTGGGTGATAGGGCAAGATAGATGCTTTCTTCCCCCCTTTACTTGTTTTCAAAAAACAAGTTGGTTCCTATACAGAAGAGTTAACTACCATCATAGGCCTAAAACTGCTGTCCTTAGAAAGGCCTGCCTGCAGGATTGGTCCTGAGCTGGCATCTGCGAGCTTGGACTTCTGTAAGGTTCTCATCATTCCCAGAACTGAGAAGAGTGGCTCCCTTTGCCTAACCTGTTTGTACAACTAATTTGGTTTATGCTGAAAACCTGCTTTCCCTCTGGGACTCTGGGATTTTGGCAGAGGACGCCTGCATGACCAGCCCCCAATAGAAGTCTCGGGTTCTGAGTCTGTAATGATCTTCCCTGGTAGACATTTCATATATGTTGTCACAGACCATTGCTGGGGGGATTAAGCATGCACATCCTACCTGACTCTATTAGGAGAGGATCCTTAAAGCTTGTGCCTGCTTTCCTCTGGACTTTGCCCCAAGTATATTTTCCTTTTGCTGATTTTGTTTTGTACCTTTTTGTTGTAATAAGTCATAGTCATGAGTATGCTATGCTGATTCCTGAGTCCTAGCAAATCACCAAAACGGGGCGGTTGTGGAGACCTTTGACTCACAGAAATATAACAGAAGGACTGGCAAGGCACGGTGGCTCATGCCTGTAATCCCAGCATTTTGGGAGGTTGAGGCGGGCAGATCACTTGAGGTCAGGAGTTTGAGACCAGCCTGGCCAACTTGGTGAAACCCCGTCTCTACCAAAAAATGTAAAAAATTAGCCTGGTGTGTGGCACACACCTGTAATCCCAGCTACTCAGGAGGTGGAAGTTACAATGAGCTGAGATCGTGCCACTGCACTCCAACCTGGGTGACAGAGGGAGCCTCTGTCTCAAAAAAAAAAAAAAAAAGGACTGAGAAAAGAAAGGATGAAATGGGTAGAGGTATGGAAAACCTTTGATGTCTGGATGGCTGTGGAGTTATCCATGATATGAAATAGCAGCTGAGCTGTTGCCTGTTATGAAAGGTAAAAGTTACCTGTCGAATTTCAAATGATAGATCCAACTCCAGGAGAACTGACTCACTAGATCACCTGGCTACTTTTGGCCATGCTGGTTACAGTGAGGAGAAAAAAGAAGTGTAGCCCAGGTAATACCTTCAGTTTTTGTTCTCTCCTCCCGGAAGAAAGAAAAAAGGCCCAAAAATTCCCAAAGATGAGCTTTGGTTGGGCCAAAAATGTTAAACATTTATGGCACTCTTTCCTCACAAGTAGGAGGAAAAAAGGTTGAATCAGTTCTCAGGGCTGGAGCAAAGTAAAAAAGGGCAGAGGACATCCTTCAGTTGTTAGCCTACCTGCACGCCCTCAACCCCATTCCAGATAGGGTCTCCTCCGCAACTGTAATATTAAACCTTTTGCTAAATTTACTGCAAGGGGTCGAATACATCTGCAGTGAGGAAGGTGCCGGGCCAGGGTGGGGTAGCGGGGGCAGTTAATGGCCTTGTATTTTGCAGTTATTACATCTATGGATATACGATAGAAGTTGATGTAAAATGTTTTATGCTTGTAATGTCGCAGATGCGAGGGGGATTAGCTCAGTAAGGCAATGCTGCAAAGAAGTTGTTAGTGGGACGCAGCTTCCTTGCTTTTTGCTGCTGTAGGATAGACGGAAATTTAAATCGTTTGTTGAAAGCAAAATATGTCTCACAGCCGATGATATTTACTATGATTTTTGCCCATTGGAGCCTCTGGAAAAAGGAAGACATACACTTCTAAACATTTTTAAAGCAGTTTTTAATTGCAAGTGAGCTCATATAAAATCAGATGTCTGACCCTAGAGGCTGGTGATTTTCTAGCCTGATGTGCATAATTTTGAGTGGGTCTTAGAAAGCACTTAGGAAAGCTTTGCTTTTTGCTTGGCCTTGGAAACATGACTGGCCCTTCAGCATCTCAGCTTTACTGCTGCCAAAGAAAAGTCTCTGGCATATTTTGGAATCCTGAATTCATAGATCCTAGTTGCTTGGACTTGACGCTTGAGCTAAAACTTGACATTGCCTCCTACACACTATTTCAGTCTCAGCACAAGCTGTGTTAAACTGAAAGAGATACAGGCTCAGGGAAGACGACTTCTATTTGGGGATCAAGGCAGATTCAGGATACCCCTCTGTGGGGCTCTTCACTATAAAAAATGGATGTTGATGGAACTACGTGGATTATCACAGGTGTCCATGGGAACCGGCTTCTCTGGTGGGACCATACGAAGTCGAACTGCTGATCTGTTCTGTATTTCTGATACAGGGACTGATTACATTCCTAACTTGTGATTACTGACAAAAGCTACATGTTGAGGGGAAAGCATATCACTAGGACTGTGACCCCTGTGCCTACCCATCTTACTCTCTACCTCTTAGGAAAGTTTCACTGTGTTTACTTGGGACTTCTGGACTAGCTGCCGTTTGCAACAGTGGACTTACCAGTTTGCCACTACTCTGCTACCTTTCTACTGGTGCACACACCTTAGTAAGGCAGTTTGATTACTAAATGCAGCTGTCTCCAGAAATGGAATGATGCTATAGGCCACTTACTAAATGAATGATCAGGAGGAAAGCAGTGAGTGGCTCTCTAAAACCATTTTGAAATATTTTGAAAATTCAGGATTTAATTCTGACCAGTTCTGAAAATGGCATGTCTTTCTGGTTACATTATATAAAAATATTTTCTGGCCAGGTGCGGTGGCTCATGCCTGTAATCCCAACGCTTTAGGAGGCCCAGGCAGGCAGATCACGAGGTCAAGAGATCGAGACCATCCTGGCCAACAGGATGTACAACAGGATGTACTAAAAATACAGAAATTAGCCGGGCATGGTGGCGCGGACCTGTAGTCCCAGCTACTCGGGAGGCTGAGGCAGGAGAATTCCTTGAATACAGGAGGGGGAGGTTGCAGGGAGCCGAGATTGTGCCACTGCACTCCAGCCTAGCAACAGAGTGAGACTGTCTCAAAAAAAAAAAAAAAAAAAAAAAAAAAAAAAAAAAAAATTCTGTGAAAACTTTTGTCCCGCTTTAATATATCCCTTCCAGACAAAAGGTCTGGATGAGAGTAGAGGACAATTTTTTAAATGCGAAGCTATGACTGCTAAATGGGACATACTGATTTTGTAACAACAACAAAAAACAAACCCTGGCACCTAGGGAATCTCAAAGGAGGCAAAGACTGATCATCTTTGTTTTTCAATACTGCCTTTCCGCTCTTCCCTAAAAACTTCCATGCTACCTTTTTAAGATGCTGCAAGCACTTTGAATTCAAACAGCCTGCTGAGCCTGTGCTCAAACCTATGAGAGCAGGGAGTGGCCTCAGCTCCTGCACTTCCCACACGGAACACCTCCAGATGTCATCCACAGTCGTGAGGCTGATAACCTGATGTCATGGACCAACATGGAACTGACTGTCTTCAGGTAGTCCCTCTGAAACAAAAACTCAAACTAAGTTTTCAGGCTGGAGTGGAAACCTGTTTTCCTCTACACTTTACCCCATGCACCTTTTCGCTTGCCAATTTTGTTTCATACCCTTTCGCTGTGGTAAGTCCTACCTGTGAATACAGCTATATGCTATGTCCTATGAGTCCTCTAAAATCATCAAACCTCGAGGTGGAAAAACTGGGTCTTGGGCATCCCTGACACAGTTCCCTAGTATTCTCTAAGTGGTTTTTTCTCCCCACAAAATAGTTTTTGTTTTGAAAATTTAGCATCGTGAATATCTCCTCCCCAGATTTAAAAGTATTTTCGTTTCGGATCAGTGTAATGACTGTTTTTGTCCCATCTTTGATGCATGGGAGCCTCTTCAAGTTGGCTCATAAGTCTTTTGATTTGTCCCTAGTAATCTTCTACAGCGTTTTGTTATCTGGTATGACAAGATATTCCAGGCTCATCTACATATTTTCTACCTCAGAACTGTTTCCTTCTAATAGCAAATATTTAGAAACTTTTATCTGGGCATTCAGGTTGCTCACTACTACTGAATTGATAATTGTTTCTAGCTCCTCACCCCCACCAGTAGATGAAACTAGGACTTTTTTACAGGTTCATAGTGACGTTTCTACTACAAATCTGGGCTACAGAATTTTTACTTAACCTCATCAATGAGATAGCTACATTTTATCTTTCCCATGTCAGAAATCTAAATTCTCAGCAACAAGAAACATAATTGCTCATTTGTTTTACTCCTCTATACCTAAAACAGCTGTAGAATAATAGTGTTACCATAAGCACCACCAATATGAGTATAGAAGGTTAAGGTTTTTTGTTGTTCTTTCATCTTTAGATTGTGACTTAATAGATACAGTAAAATTCATGTGTTTTACAGTTAATTGGAATTTATTTCTATGTGGTTATGATATTTAGCTGAGGAGATTTCCAAGCAAAGTGTAGAAGGTGCAGCCTGCCTTGTTGCTTATAGTAAAATGTGAGAACAACAATAGAGGGAAGAACTATTAAAGCACAAGAAGGAATCAACATTTAATGATTTAGGAAATTTTTCAGCCTATCTAGATTGCAAAAGATGCGAAATTAGGAGCTTCACTATTAGGAAAGGATGCTACAGAGAAAGCCAAGGGCATGACTGGACCACCTTCCCCTCCACCCCCCCCCCCCCCCCCCCGCCCTTTTAACTGCTGAAGAAATTAAATATGTGACTCGTGGATCATCTCAACCATCTCGACAGAAACCAAGAATGGAGATGGGATTATTCAGGAACGATCTGTGGAGGAACATCTTTTCTAATGGAGTCAATCCCATGACATACGCAAGAGATCCACAATGTTTGGAGAATGGTATATTAGCAGAAACACTGCCAGCTTGGACTGAAAGAGACAGAGAGGGGACAAAATTAAAGAAGATGCTTTGACTGTCAAAATTCTATAGGCAGGTAACTGGCCGGAGAAAAAGGATGATTCAGAGGATAGAATCTCCAGATGGCAGAGCCAAGGGCCATAGAAGATTATTCCCAGGCCTTGAAACCTAATGTTGGAGTCCAGAATTGTTTGGGACTAGTAACTCCTTTCTTCCTTCCATTTTCTCCCTTTTGGAACGGGAATGTCTATAAATTTTATTCTCTGCCTGTTCCACTATTATATTTTGGGAGCATCCTATATATGCTTTTCTCCATTTTGCTTTTTTCACTAATAGTATATCCTGGAGTACATTCTGTAACAGTATATAGAAATATTCCTCACTTCTTTTTTTAGCTGAATAGTCTTCCTTGTGTGGATGTACCATAATTTATTCAACCTGTTAATGGCACTTGGTTAATTTTAGTCTTTTGCTGTTACAAAAAGTGTTGTAATGAATAACCCTGTACATACATCTTTTTATTTTTACCACTATATGTGTACGCTTGATTTTCTAGAAGAGGGATTGCTGGATTGGAGCTTAAATGCAAAATTTCATTTTGCTATATAAACCAAATACTATTTGATCACTAGCCACCTAAGAAATACATTTTGCATTGTGACCCAGTTTACACACACACAGGCATGTAACTAAGATGTGTCATGGTTACCTCGCTACCTCCAATCTGTTTTGTTTTAAAAATTCAGGTAGCAATGCTAAGTGACCTACTAATGGGTCATGACTCAAAGTTTTAAAAACATTGGCTTGGCTGGGCACGGTGGCTCACGCCTGTAATCCCGACACTTTGGGAGGCTGAGGCAGGCAGATCACCTGAGGTCAGGAGTTTGAGACCAGCCTGGCCAACATGGTGAAACGCCGTCTCTACTAAAAATACAAAAGTTAGCCAGGTGTGGTGGTGCATGCCTATGATCCCATCTACTCGGGAGGCTGAGGCAAGAGGATCGCCTGAACCTGGCAGGTGGAGATTGCAGCGAGCCCAGATTGTGCCACTGCACTCCAGCCTCAGTAACAGACCAAGACTCCATCTCAAAAAATAAATAAATAAATAAATAAATGGCTTGACCAAGGATTGGTACACTTTTATTTGAAAGAGCCAGATAATAAATATTTTAGGCTTGTGGACTATTCATAGTCCCAACTCTGCCTCTGCCATTGTAGCCTAAGAGGTATAGGGGATACATAAACCAATAGACACGGCTGTGTTTCAGTAAAACTATCTACAAAACCAAGTGGCTATAGATAGGACTCTGTTGTAGGCTAATCAAGCCACACCCTCAGGGGTTGGAATGAAGTCAGCTTCACCTGTAGCACATGGATATATGGAGGAGGGTAGATTACTGAATGAAATTAGGACTTGGGAAGGAGAATGAGGGAAATGGCTGTTGAATAGGCAACAGTCGCTATCACATTAACTAAATAGTCTTAGTCATGACTTACATGATTAACCTCTAAATAGGCAGATAGCCCTAATATGTCCCAGGTGTAAAGTACAATGTAATATTTGTTTGCCAGCGCTTTTTTTTTTTTTTTTGGTGAGACGAAGTCTTGCTCTGTCACCCAGGCTGGAGTGCAGTGGCACGATCTCAGCTCACTGCCACCTCTGCCTCCTGGGTTCAAGCAATTCTCCTGCCTCAGCCTCCTGAGTAGCTGTGATTACAGGTGTGTGCCACCACACCTGGCTAATTTTTGTATTTTTAGTAGAGATGAGGTTTCACTATGTTGGCCAGGCTGGTCTCGAACTGCTGACCTCAAGTGATCCACCTACCTCTGCCTCCCAAAGTGCTGGGATTACAGGCATAAGATACCACCTCACCTGCCCGGCCTGTTTGGCAGTGTTTTTAAGAGCAGATGTAGTTCATATACATTCTTTTTTGTTTGTTTTGTTTTTGAGATGGAATCTCACTTTGTCATCCAGGCTGTAGTGCAGTGGCACAGTCTTGGCTCTCTGCAGCTTCAACCTCCTGGGCCCAGGCAATCCCCCTGCCCTAGCCTCCCAAGTAGCTGAGGCTACAGGCACACACCACCATACCCAGCAAATTTGTGTGTGTGTAAACAAGGTCTTACTATGTTGCCCAGGGTGGTCTTGAACTCCTGGTCTCAAGTAATCCTCCTGCCTTGGACTTCCAAAGTACAGAGATTACAGGCATGAGCCACCATGCCTGGCCTCATGTACACTTTTTTTTTTTTTTTTGAGACAGAGTCTTGCTCTGTTGCCCCGGCTGGAGTGCAGTGGTGCGATCTCGGCTCACTGCAAGCTCCGCCTCCCAGATTCACGCCATTCTCCTGCCTCAGCCTCCCGAGTAGCTGGGACTACAGGTGCCCGCCACCACGCCTAGCTAATTTTTTGTATGTTTAGTAGAGATGGGGTTTCACTGTGTTAGCCAGGATGGTCTCGATCTCCTGACCTCATGATCTGCCCGCCTCGGCCTCCCAAAGTGCTGGGAATTACAGGTGTGAGCCACCGCGCTGGGCCGAAATATTTTTAAGTGTCTACCTCTCTGTACTCACAGGCAGTGTGATAGGTGCTTGGTAATCAAAAGTGGTTAGCACATGCTACCTTCCCTCAAGTGAGACCATCTGACTTTCCCTATAGTTAAGATAGAGACATACTATTTAAAATAAATGTAATAAGCATTAAGAGGTAGGGCTAAACTTTTAGGGAGAAAAGGTACACGTTGTATAATTATAGGTGCCAACTTATTAAATTTTAGCTAATTTTTAGACATAAGGTACTGTGAAACCCCTTTCCAAAGTTATTACCTAAGATATGCAAATATCTAAGATGGTACTTGGAGATCACATGATCATAATCTTTGGTATAATTGGAGGCAAAAACAACAAAGTGGCAGTGGGGCATGAACGGCAGCCCAGTCCATTGTCTGCACAAGAGAAAAAGGATAATAAAGAATAAAGTTAGGGGCACAGAATAGACCCAGTTCTTACTATTTGAAATAGGAGCGGGGGGAAGGGTTCAAGAGTCCTAAGGACAGTATAAGGACAGGAAGTGGGCAACTATAGAAGCAGCAGATCATCAGCGGGCAGGGATTCCTCCTGGCACTTGTATTCTATCCCGCTAGTGTCTTCAGACTGAAGCATGGCCAGGCTTCCATGCCTTGTCTGACTCTAGGCCTACTTCTGCAGAGGAGTCACAGAGCCAGGTCGTCATCTGGGAAAACACTTTGTGTGTGTGTGAGACGGAGTCTCACTCTGTTGCCTAGGCTGGAGTGCAGTGGCGTGATGTCAGCTCACTGCAACCTCCGCCTCCCGGGTTCAGGTGATTCTCCTGCCCCAGCCTCCCGAGTATCTGGGAATACAGGTGTGCACCACCATGCCCGGCTAATTTTTTGTATTTTTGGTAGAGACAGGGTTTCACCATACTGGCCAGGCTGGTCTCGAACTCCTGACCTCGTAATTCACCGGCCTCAGCCTCCCAAAGTGCTGGTATTACAGGTGTGAGCCACCGCGCCTGGCCCACACTTTTTTAATTTGAGACACTCTTATCACCCAGGCTGTTTTTTCTGGACCAGGATGAGCCCCTTGAAACAAGTGGGTCAGGGAGAGAAGTAAAGGGGTAAAATGTAGACCAGGAGAAATGGAGTGATAGACACTGGAGAAAAGGGGAAAGTCAAAAAGAATCTGTGAAAAAGAAGAATTCACAAATAGGAAAATATCCAAGATTGACTCTTCCAATTGCCTGGGGCTTCTATTACTCTAATAATATATTGTATTAACAAGCGTCTTCTGTGTGTTCAAAGTACTTTTCAGTGTGTCTCACAGCAGTTGCAGAGATCAAAGAAAGGAGCCAAGTGAAATTAGCTTGATTTCACAGATATGAAAAGTAAGCAACTTGACAAGGTTCTTTAGAAAGGAAGGAATGGAGCCAACAGTAGGGAGCCCAGGTCCTGAGTAAAGAGCTGCTTGTTATCAAAAGCCTGGAGTGACACCACTGAAGGCTAGTCTGCCGTGGCTTCTCTGTACGCCGCCCCCCTCCTCCCACCCTCCACTCCCTGGCAGTGGACCAGGTAATCTTAACCTCTCTTACCTAATACAGAACTCTTTCTCTTCTGTAGATTCTTTGTGGGAAAGAGATTCCTCGCTGGATCAATCGACTTGCCTACTTCAGCTCCTGTATACCCTTTCTACAGAGTTGCCTCCCGAAGGAGTGGCTCACGCCCGCAGCCCTGCAGTCTAGTGTCAGCCAAGAACTCCAGGATGAACTGGAGGAAGCAGAGGATGCTGCCGCATCCGCTTCCGTGGCAAGCACTGCAGCAGGCTCCAGACCCGGGCGCCACACTAAACTATAAATGTCTCCAAAGTCACACATTCAGAACTGTCTCTGGCAGTCGAATATCACTAGAGAAAAGTAAACAGAGAAGCATCCTTTAGATATTTTGTATGCAAAGATGGCTCTCCCCCAAATCCCAGTTTTTCAGCTCAGGATTATATTTGTAATCAAAAAAAAAAAATCACTTGGCGCAGGAGGGAGAACTTTGTAAGAAGCTGCCCTCTGTTTTTTTTATCCACTCGTAAATCTGGATTTATTTCTTCTGTTTTATACAAGCTCTGTTAAGTTATGTTTACAGTATCTTGTATCGCTGTTTACAAATCTTGCATGGACTCCTGCCACAGTGAAAGAAGAAAATCTTCATGTCTTCAAAAATTAGGCAGGTAATCTTTGTATACTTCTGACAATTGCCAGATCTATGGCATAAATAGGCACACAAAAAGGTACTTAAACAGTTATAGTCACCATCACCTGCTTCAGAATGGTCTTTTAGATTTGTGTTTGTTTTGTTAAAGTTGTTGGCACCAGGATGCAGAGAATCAGACTGGCCTGAGGTGAAGGAGCACACAGCCCTGAGGGCTTGGAACCCTGGGTCCAGTTCCTCTTCACACCCCCTTCCACTCTGAGTAGCACATCTCCCCAGGTGCCCATGGAACACCTGCTTTCATCCCAAATATCCGTCCACCTAGGCGGGGTGGTATGTTCTTACGTCTCTCTGACTTTGATGCCACTCATTCTATAGTTTAGCTGGTTTTCGTTCAAGATATTCTTGGTAGTAACTGACAAGTATGTTGCACATGTATTGGGGGAGGCGCTTCATTTTTATTTTAATACACATGTATTTCCTCCTTGCACAGGATTTTGATGGTGTGGGAATATCCTAAGTGGTAGCCTTCCAAGTAGCAGTGAGTTGACATTCAGCTGCTTTTAACTATTCAGGCTACCTTTTATACTAAACCTTGAAAACTAGAATCTAATGTCTACCCCAAAAAAGTAGTTCTTTGATATTTTATACTTTTTATGTACCATGTCAGAAAGAGTATGTTGGCGTTTGTCATGGGACTCATTTCACATAATAGAATGCCTAGTCTCATTGACCAATCGTTAAAAAATCATATTTGTGTGTCTTAAGATTCATATTTATATGTTCTCTCAAATGTATGTCTCTTACGTAACATACTCTAAGAATGAAACTGTCACCACAGGTAAATCCTTGTTAGCAAGGAATCTGTCTGCTCCAGTCTACTCCTAGTTTGATCCTTGGATGTAAGAACCAAGTCATTACATGTCAAATTCAATTTTTCTGCCTTAAGAATGAATGTCCTTCATAAAATATTGGATGCAGTGTAACACTATCCAAGGCAGTGACTTCAGCTTTATATACATATAAAATATAGTTAGTTTTAAAATTATTGACATTTATTTAAACTTTTAGATTGGATTGTTTGCTATTGCTCTGTGTGAGGATACATAATCTTTCAGTAAACTGTATTTTTAACTTTTCCATAAGCTGATTTTGGTTCATTTTATCAACGTAAGCACACCCTGTTCATAGGGAAAATAAACCTTGGGTTATAAGCATTAGCCTGAGGACAATGAAGCCACTTAACCTAATTTATGCTTTCGACTGTTCTGTTTCCAGAGAGGAAAGCCTTTACAAATTACTCTCAGTTCTTTAGGGGCAGAAGGCTTGTTTCAAGAGGTTTGACAGAAGAAAGGAATATATGAACTTAATGAGATGTCGACTTGGTTCAGGTCTAAAAATGAGGGCAAAACACTAAGGCTCTAGCAGTGACTTGTTCACTAAAAAGAGAGAGTCCTGTCCCCAGACGGTTAGTACAAAGCCTTGGATACAGTTTGCTTGTAATATTTTTAATAATGTGAGGAGTACAGTGTTTTCTAATTCATTCAAGTATATATGATTTAAACCTGGGCTACTGACACACACACAGTAGCCATTAGTTAGACTCTTCTTAGTGAATATCAGGAACATCCCATCTGTGCTTAACCAGAATCCAGCAAGTCAGCACACAAGTGATTTTATTGTTATTTTGTTGTATTTACTTGCATTTGTTGTATTTACTTTCATCTGCAGCATTTGGAGTTTAAAAATAATGTAAAGGGTTCTAGTAGAAATAGTGTCCTAAGGCCAATTACCTACCATACTAACAATCAGCAGATAAAATTCTGGACGTGAGATTCCTTATAATCTAATTATACCTGAGGTTGAGCAAGAAATGTCTTCCTTTAGAAAATCTCATTCAAGTCAGGTTCTTCTCTACAGTTCAAAATTGAGAATGGATTTAATTAACTAGCATTTAGCCAGCTTTTTCTTGCCCTTGGAGAAAAAGAATCATTCTCAACCTGATAATCTGTTAAGAAAAATCCCATATGAACAATCTGGTCATTAACATACATATGATACGGAGTCTCTTTGTTGTCACCAAGTGAACATACTTCTCATGGTGGGTTGGACAGTAATACATGTTAGAGGGTCAGAAGCTTCTGGTTTCTGCTGTTTGCTTTAAATACCCTTGGGGTTTTTTTTTAAACCCTTACAAGGGGAGCATCAGCTTTGGAAAGTGTGACTCTGTAGGAGTGTAGAAGGCAGTGGTGTATGATCTTAGCCTCGTCCTGATGCCTGAATCCAGCCAGCTGTTGCTCTGACCCACAGCAATAGAGCAAGTTACCCATCACCAGCATTTGTACAGAGCAGGGAATTCTGGTTTTAGTCCATTGGTAGCATTGTGTGTATGAGGAGATTCAACACCACAGACAGCTGCAGGACTCGATATCCATGGCTTCTTTCCATCACAAAACGGGTAGAAACACATTCACTGCTTCAGGGTTCTAATCTGTGTGTCTCCTTATGACTCCATTTCTGTAAGCTACTCTGTAACTTTGATATATGCTGTATTTTCTTTCTTTAAAAGATTTAGATGTTTTTTCAGCAAGCTAGCCATACAACCATTGTATCTCTTTCTCTTCAGTATGGTTTAGAGCCCAGATCAGTTAGTAGGCTTTCGTTGTCTTCTCTTTCAATACATGTACATCTTTACTGTTTGAAAAGTGTTACAGCTGTCAAAGAATCTTCATGGACCTGAAGATAATTTCTTGTGAAGTTGAATGCAAGTGTACTGTCATTCATAGTGTTTATATCAAAATACCAGGAATCTTCACTTTTGCTACCTTGATATAGCATTGGGCTATCATGTTACAACATTGAAATACATTGATTTATTAAAAAATACTTTTATAAGAAATGTTTTATAGTGCTTTCTTTCAGATTATAACTGTTGTGTATTTGTGTTGGGCGGGGTGGGGAGGTATATTTTTAAAACCCAAGCATCCCGTGTGCTCGGCAGGAACATGACGGCCAGCCCCTCCATCCTTTCTTCCTCTCACATGCACATGTACCTTTATTCACCTGCATTGATCTTGAGCGCAGATCTGTGGGCCCAGTGCCTTAGCTGTCAGATAGCATAGCCACACCTGCTCACAGGGAGGGGTGCCAGCCCTGACTTCTGGGGAATGGAGGCAGAGGGGCAAGCTAGAACGGACTCCTCCCCCAGAGTGCAGGGAACAGACCTGCAGAGGAATAGCCCCGACTTATGCACACACTGTCCCTTGTCTTGAAGCAGCAAAGCAAGCAGGAGCCTGAGAGAATGAGCTCATTTCCTACGGACCTGTTCTCCAATGCTTGGCACCTCCAACCTGCCCCTTCCCCTTTCTCCTCCACTGGCCTTTTTGCACACTGTGGAGCAATATTTTCCTCTACTAATTCAAAAATTTCTCTTGAATTAACTATTGTTAAATAAATGAATACCAGCCTTTTGTGACCTGTCAATGCCTGTCCACTCTAAGCAAGAATGATCTATGTACAACTTACTTGTTCTGGCCTCCAGAACAAGAAACAAAGGGAGCTCTTCCCCCAGGCTAACACAGGTTCCTAATAGACTATAACAAGGAGGTTACAAATTCAAATCTGGTAAAGCAATTTCAGGATCTTGCTTGGAGAAAGAAGGCCAAGTATCTGGAGGACAGTGGTCTTTTGTTGTGTGTTTTTCATTACCTGCTCCTGAAGTTCTGATCACCCAGATATTGACCTTGTTCTATAATAACTGTGCAGAAGTCAGTGCTAATAAAGGTTAACAGCTTCTTGCTATACTTTCCAGGAAGTAAATCAGTGGCAGACAGCTACTTACTTCCTTATGGATTCAAAGCCCAGAGCATTGCTGAGGCCTCTCATACCTGCCCCTTGGTCGTTCCTTCCTGTCAAAGCCAAGAGGGGAAGGAGAGAAGAGCCTCCTCTCACCATGCTCAGGAAGGCATTCATTCTCCTGAGAGTAGATGAGCCCATCTGTATTCTGGGGCCCTGCCCTGATCTGGGAAGGTGTCATGGTCCCAACAGAGAATGAATCAGTCCCATACTGGTGAGGGCTGGAGTAGAACCCCCATCTTTGAGCACTTCCCTGACACCGGACCCCCTCCCTTAGTTACAGTTGCCTGGTTCTACCAAAGCCACTGGCTACCAGACTGTTTCCTTCACACCCCAAACTTCTAGGTGATCTGTGGGATTTATACCTGGGCAGCCTTCAGGTACGTCTGAAGTCCCACCCATGAGGCTCCTCAAAGTGGAGTGGAGTGGAGTGAATGAGGCCTGCTTTACTCCACCGGAAGAATATGCATTTGATAGGGGAGTAAAGAATAAATCAGACTAAGAAAAGCAATTTGGTCTACCTAGCACTCTCAGTCTATGTGGCCAGTGAATATCCACTTCAGTGGGGCTGGGATTTTCAGATCAAAAAACCAGAATAAGATGTATGGGAGCCAGGCCACAAGACTCAGGTATAAAAAAAGACTGAGGAAAACTTTCATGCCTTCCTCTCCCTCTGCCAGGATCAGTGAGTGGGTGTCACAGAAATACCCTGGCATTACCCCCTGGCAAGCAGTTGATAATCCACAGAAGGTCACTTTGTGGGTTTTGAGGACAAGACAAAAAAGAAAAAAGAAAATCTTTACCTCTGCTTTGTGCTTGGGCCCATGCTGAGTACTACACACATTATTTAATTCTCACAACAGCCTATGACATCATTCCTGCTTTACATAAAGACAGTTGAGAGATTTTTAGCTCAAGACCACACAGATGGCATAGGGAAGGCCCATATTTGAACTCAGCCAATTCTAAAGCATCTCTTCTTTCCATGCAAGCATATACTTCTCTGAAACGGCAAATCTGCCCACCCCGAGTCTACTAAATGAGAATTGGCATTTTAGCAAAATCCCCAGGTGATTTATGAGTACATCCATGTTTAAGAAGCACTGCTGAATTTCATAAGACGCAGTTCTGTGTGGTTCCCGGATGAGTTAATGTCAGGCAGCCTGGACATGTGACTATCTGAAGGACCTGCTAGGTGACTCCCCTCCAAAATTCAGTAGAGGTGCAGTAAGACTTTCTAAATTTTGACTGGGTTTGACTCAAGCTATATAAATTATTCGAGGACTACCCACCCCAATAAACATGAACCATGAACTTAAACCCTCTGGTGTTGCTGCAGGGAGTAGTTACCTAGAAGCCCCTGGTCCAGGCACTAAGGATTCTGGACTATTGTCCAAATGAGATCCAACCTCCTGTGAGAGACCGCCAGGGCCAGGCGCTTCAGGCGGCCATCCTGTTCACTTGAGTCATCACTGAAAGCTCAAGCCCCCCAGGCCATTCATCCCCAGACTCATCCCCAACAACTCTACACGCCCTTATCTGGCCAGCACCCCTATTCATCCTTACTGTCCCCCCTTTCCAATGTGCCCTCTGGAACTCTCAATCTGTGACAGGCAAATGACCCAAGACTCCATTTTTTCAAATGTTTCTTGACCTTTCTGCTTTACCCGAAACCTGGCTGTCCCTTGAGAATCTCTCTCCTTAAGTGTACCCTCCGTCTCCCAATTGCTGCTTCGAAATAATTTCTCCTCTTCCCTTCAAAACCTCCAGCTCCAGTGAAACCTGTGCTAGCCAGTTCTACCAGCTACTCCCCTTCATTGTCCCTCTTCCTGCTCATACTGTCTTTGTCTCCAGCATTTCCCTGTCATCACTCTCCACTTACGTTCATGTAGGTGATCTGTCCGGTACCCTAGCCCAGTGTTTCTTAACTGGGGCTCTGTCCTTTGGGGCAAGACAATTCTCGTGCTAGGCAATCCTCCGCAATATGAGCCTAATGGCATCTCTGCACCCTCCCTGCACGTTACCAGCCTTTTACCCCCTCCACAGTCTGCAACATCCCGTGTCCTTGTGCATCCCCCACATTTCATCCCGCAGGGGATTGGCAGGCCTGACCTCAGTTGAGAACCATTCAATGTCTTGATCTCATGTCAGCCATTCTTTGAAGGCTTCAACTTTTCATCATTAGTAACATTCTTTTTTTTTTTTTTTTTTTGAGACGGAGTCTTGCTCTGTTGCCCAGGCTGGAGTGCAATGGTGCAATCTCAGCTCACTGCAACCTCCACCTCCAAGGTCGAAGCTATTCCCCTGCCTCAGCCTACCTAGTAGCTGGGATTACAGGCACCCGCCACTATGCCCGGCTAATTTTTGTATTTTTAGTAGAGACAGGGTTTCACCATGTTAGTCAGGCTGGTATTGAACTCCTGACCTCAGGTGAGCCGCCCGCCTCGGCCTCCCAAAATGCTGGGATTACAGGCGTGAGCCACCGCGCCCGGCCCATCACTAGTAACATTCTAAACCACTTCTAAAAATCTTAATTTTAACCATCACTAACCATGAACTTCCCAGCTCATGCTAGTACCCTACATTCCAAAAGTCTTCAACTTATCAAGATCCCAAATCCATCAATCCTAACATCACCTCCCTCCCATCTTCGTTTCTCCTTTCACTCAGCCTAAATTCCATGGCCAATAATTCAATCATTTCCTTCTCAGTACCCTCTAGATCTATGCCCCTTTCTCCATTTTAATAGCCTGGCAAACCCTGTACTGTTCTGAGACCTCTCTGCATCTGCGCCTGATGAGCTGAATGCTGCTGAAGAAAAACCACACAACTAGGCTGACTGATTACAGTTTACTCATCCTGTCCACAAACCTCACATGGGGACATGACACCACGCCATGGTTTACTATAGTCCCTTGTCAGCCTGCTCCTCTGCTCTCCTGGATGACACTCATAGCTTCCGTCTTCACCTCTCCCACACGTTCCCCGCACATTTCAGCTGAGAACCTCGCTTTACGCTTCAGTGAAAATACAGAGACAATTTAGGCAATCTCCCAATCTACAAGCTCACCTGAATTTGTGCCCGTCTCTATAAATAAATAAATAACGCCTTGTGAAATATGTATGCAAGAGAATGTATATGTTGGTTGGTTGGTTTCTTTATTTAAGACGGAGTCTCACTCTGTTGCCCAGTCTGGAGTGCAATGGCACAATCTTGGCTCACTGCAACCCCCGCCCCCTGGGTTCAAGCAATTCTCCTCAGCCTCAGCCTCCCGAGTAGCTGGGATTACAGGCGCGTGCTACCACACCCAGCTAATTTTGTTTTTTTTAGTAGAGACGGGGCTTCACCATATTGGCCAAACTGGTCTCGAACTCCTGACCTCAGGTGATCCGCCCGCCTCAGCCTCCCAAAGCGCTGGGATTACAGGAATGAGCCGCTGTGCCCGGCCAGTATATGTACAATTTAAAAAGTGATAAAACGAACACCTCCCTGAACAACCATTCAGCATACAAACTAGAACATCAGCAGCACATGTAGGCTTCCCCAGCCACTTCCTCTTCCCCCCACTGGAAGGGTAACCACAATCCTAGTTTTGTGTAATCGTTCCTTTGCTGCCTACATATGCATCCCTGGACAATACTATATGATTTGGTTTTGCCTATTTTGAACTTTATAGAAATGGAATCATAAATTTCAGTTATTTTTTAAATTTTTACATTATTTTTATAATTCATGCATATTATATGTATAGTTGTAGTTCATTCATTTTCACTGCTACATAGTGGGGTTTTTCTTGTTTTTTGTTTGTTTGTTTTTTTGAGACAGAGTTTCGCTCTCGTTGCCCAGGCTGGATGGAGTGCAGTGGCTCGACCTCAGCTCACTGCAACCTCCGCCTCCCAGGTTCAAGCGATTCTCCCGTCTCAGCCTCCCGAGTAGCTGGGATTATAGGTGCACGCTACCACGCCTGGCTAATTTCTGTAGTTTTAGTAGAGACGGGATTTCACCATTTTCGTCAGGCTGGTCCTGAACTCCTGAACTCAGGTAATCCATCTGCCTCGGCCTCCCAAAGTGCTGGGATTACAGGCGTGAGCCACTGCGCCCGGCCTGTGTGGTTTTCTGTTGGACTAATATGCCACAATTTTATGCATACATTCTACCTCTAACGGATATTTGGACTATTGCCAGTTTTTATTGCTATTATGACCAATGCTCCTATGAACATTATCATGCATACCTCCTGCTGCAGATGTAATGATTTCTCTAGACATGGGATTGGTAGATGGTAAGGAAAGTGCAGGTTTAATTTTATTAAAGTGGAAAAAAAGACATTATACTTTTATTAAATGAAGTCTTACTCAGCCCTCTCTCCATCTTCTAATCAAACAGCTCCACAAGCTAGTTATTCTTTTCTAATGTCGTATAATGAAATTCTAGAGCCTGGCCTTCAAAATATTTTTTACAATTAACTAAAAGAGTCAAAGAGATCAAAACTGGTGCTCGACACCCACACAGCCACTGGGAAAGATGACACTCGGTATCACAAAAGTGGTCTAAAGAATCTGATTGATTTGGTTAAGAACTTTCAAATAAAAACTGTCTTGTTCTATGAAGAGTGGATATGTATGTGTATATTCATCACTATTTGCAACTCTGTTTGAGCAACAGGGTCTTGTTAGAATCCTACAACTCTAGGAAATAAATTGATAAATAAAAATATTTGTGCAAATAACCACCATGCGAAAATAACCTCCAAAAAGAACCTCTATCTGCCTGCTTGTCTTGATAATTTGCTGTCTTGGTTATAATGTTGTAAATGACATCTTCATATTCCTAAAAGTTACACACACTTGAAAGACAGATGAGGCCAGGCGCGGTGGGTCGCACCTGTAATCCCAGCACTTTGGGAGGCCGAGGAGGATGGATCACGAGGTCAGGAGTTTGAGACCAGCCTGGCCAACATGGTGAAACCCCGTCTCTACCAAAAAAATACAAAAAACAGCCGGGCATGGTGGCGCACACCTGTAGTCCCAGCTACTCAGGAGGCTGAGGCTGGAGAATTGCTTGAACCCACAAGGTGGAGGTTGCAGTGAGCCGAGATCGCTCTACTGCACTCCAGCCTGGGCAATAGAGTGAGACTCCATCTCCAGAAAAAAGAAAAAAGAAAGAAAGGGAGGGAGGGAGGGAGACAGGAAGGAAAGAAAAGATCAGAAGACTGTGCACTTTTCTTCTACGTGCATGATGAAAAAATCAAAGCCCTTGACACCCTGCCAGATATATTATTTAAAAGATCATCTGACAGTTCCTGCTTCATAGCATCAATCAAAACTATTTTCCAAAGTGGCTGTAACACTTGACACCCCTACCAGCAGAAACTTTTAGTCTCCATTACTCCATATCCTTGCCACTTGATGCTGACCAAGTCTTTAATGTTTGCCAATCTGGTAGGTATTAAACTGGCATCTAGCTGTGTTTCTGATTTACATTTTCCTGATTATTAATAAGGTTTAGACTCTTTATATGTTTCTGGGCCATTTAAGTTTTCTTTTTCTGTGAAACGTTTGTCTTATCTTTTGCCCATTTATTTATTTAATTTATTTATTTTATTTATTTATTTTTGAGACAGAGTCTTGCTCTGTCGCCAAGACTGGAGTGCAGTGGTACAATCTCGGCTCACTGCAATCTCTGCCTCCCGTGTTCAAGCAATTCTCCTGCTTCAGCCTCCTGAGTAGCTGGGACTACATGCGCCCGCCACCACACCTGGCTAATTTTTGTATTTTTAGTACAGACGGGGTTTCGCCATGTTGGCCAGGCTGGTCTCCAACTCCTGACCTCAAGTGATCCACCTGCCTCAGCTTCCCAAAGTGCTGGGATTACAGGCGTAAGCCTCCTCACCCAGGCTTTTGTCCCTTTTTCTACTGGATTATTTATTACTTCTTATTTGCAGGGTCTCTTCACATATCTTGACTACTAATCTTTGACAGTTCTGTAGTTGCAAATATTTTCTCCCGGTTTGAAACTTGTCTGTTCACTGTCTATAAGGTGTTTTGAGAAACAGAAGCCCATTTTAATGCAGTCGAAAATATCAATAGTTTTACAGCCATAAAAAAGAATGAGTTCATGTCCTTTGCAGGGACATAGATGAAGCTGGAAGCCATCATTCTCAGCAAACTAACACAGGAGCAGAAAACCAAACACCACATGTTCTCACTCATAAGTGGGAATTGAACAATAAGAACACATGGACACAGGGAGGGGAACATCACACACTAGCGCCTGTTGGGGGCAAGGGGAGGGAGAGCATTAGGACAAATACCTAATGCATGCAGGGCTTAAAACCTAGATGGGTTAATAGGTGCAGCAAACCACCATGGCACATGTATACCTATGTAACAAACCTGCACATTCTGCACATGTATCCCAGAACTTAAAATAAAATTTAAAAAATATATATATATCAATAGTTTTCTCTATAGTAAATAATTCTTGTATCTTAAGAGATGTTTCTCCCTCTAAATCATAAAGATATTCTTTTTTTTTTATTTTAAGAGACAGGGTCTTGCTCTGTTAGCCAGGTTGGTCTTGAACTCTTGGCCTCAAAGCAATCCTCCTGCTTGGCCTCCCAAAGTGCTAGGATTACAGGCATGAGCGATGGTGCCTGACCCTCCTATATTTTTTTCTAAGTATTTTGTCTTTTGCATTGGTCTTTAATTCAACCACAATTGATTGTGTGTGTGTGTGTGAAGTAGGGAGCCAATGTAATTTTTTCGTATGAATAACTATTTGTCCTAACGCAATACACTGGATAGTCTGTCCTTTAGCCACTGTTCTACAATTCCTACTTTTCCATTAGTCAAGTTTCCATATATATTTGACTCTGTTTCTGGACTCTGTAGGTCCATCAGTCTATTTAAATACTCTCTCCAGACCAATGACACACTATCTTAATTACTGAAGGTTTATAAGTTTTACTATGTGGTAGAGCAAGTTCTCCTACCTTATTCAGGAGTTATTACGTGCTATTTTTTGGCCTTTTACTCTTCCATATAAATTTAGAATCAGCTTTTCAAGTAAAACACCCACATGTGTACACATATTGGAATTCTGGTGTGTGTGTGTGTGTATATATATATGTATGTGTGTATATATATATATATCTATATACACACATATATACATATATATATCAACTTTGGTTTTTCTGTTTGTTTGCTTGTTTGAGATGAAGTTTCACTCTGTCACCCAAGCTGGAATGCAGTGGTGCGATCACGGCTTTCTGCCACCTCCACATCCTGGGCTCAAGTGATTCTACTGCCTCAGCCTCCCAAGTAGCTGGGATTACAGGCGCCTGCCACCATGCCGGGCTAATTTTTGTATTTTTAGTAGAGATGGGATTTCACTATGTTGGGCAAGCTGGTCTCAAACTCCTGACCTCAAGTCATCTGCCTGCCTCAGGCTCACAAAGTGCTGGGATTACAGACATGAGCCACCATGCCTGGCCAAGAATATATGTATCAACTTGTAGTGAATCAACATCCTTATATTTTTCAGTTTTTAATTATGGTAGAGGCAGAGTCTCACTCTTTTGCCCAGGCTGGTCTTGAAGGAATTCCCGGGCTCAAACTATCCTCCCACCTCAGCCTCCCAAAGTGCTGGGATTACAAGCATAAGCCACCACACCCAGCCTGATATTGAGTCTTTACCAAGATCATGATATATATCACTCTGGCCAGGCACGGTGGCTCACGCATGTAATCCCAGCAGTTTGGGAGGCCGAGGTGGGTGGATCACTTGAGGTCAGCAGTTTGAGACCAGCCTGGCCTACATGGTGAAACCCTGTCTCTACTAAAAATACAAAAATTAGCCCAGCATGGTGGTGGGCACCTGCGGTCCCAGCTACTCAGGAGGCTGAGACAGGAGAATCGCTTGAAACCAGGAGGCAGAGGTTGCAGTGAGCCGAGATAGCACCATTGCACTCCAGCCTGGGTAACAGGAGCGAAATTCCATCTCAAAAAAAAAAAAGATATATATCACTCCATGTGAACTGATATTTAATGTTTTTCAATAAAGTTTTATAGCTTTCTCCATAAAGGGTTTTCATGTATTTTGTTAGATTTATTCCTAGGATCCTTACATTTTTTGTTGTTGCTAATATAAATAGTATCTTTTATTTCTTATATTTTCTGATCCATTGTTTCTCATATGTAAAAATGCAATTGACTTTTTAAAATAATATACTACTTTTTAGAGCAGATTTAGGTTTACAGAAAAATTGGGCACATAATACAGAGAGTTCCCACGTACCACTCTTCCCCACAGTTTCTCTATTATTAACATCTTGCATTAGTGCAGTACATTTGTTAATTGATGAATCAATATTAATACATTATTATGGCTTGGCGCGGTGGCTCACGCCTGTAATCCCAACACTTTGGGAGGCCGAGGAGGGCGGATCACAAGGTCAAGAGATCAAGACCATCCTGGCCAACATGGTGAAACCCCATCTCTACTAAAAATACAAAAATTAGCTGGGCATGGTGGTGCGCACCTCTAGTCCCAGCTACTTGGGAGGCTGAGGCAGGAGAATCACTTGAGCCCGGGAGGCAGAGGTTGCAGTGAGCCAAGATCGTGCCATTGCACTCCAGCCTGGCGACAGAGCCAGACTCCATCTCAAATATATACACACACACACACACATATACACATACACACACACACACACACATTATTATTCACTAAAGTCCCATTGTTTACATTAGGGTTCACTGTTTGTGCTGTACGGTTCTGTGGATTTTGCCAAATGCATAGTTCATATATCTACATGACAAATGATAGAGTAGTTTCACTGCCCCAGAAACCACCCGTGCTCCACCCATTCATCCCTTCCCAATTTTCAACCCCGGCAACCACTGATCTTTTTACTGTTACAGGTTTGCCGTTTCCAGAATGTCATATTGTTTGAATCAAAGAGTATGTAGCCTTTTCGAACTAGCTTTTTTCACTCAACAATATGCATTTATGGCTCCTCTTTGTCTTGTGGCTTGACAGCTCATTTCTCTTGTCACTGGATGATATTCCATTATATGGATGTGGACCACATTTTATCAATTCACCTGCTGAAGAAGAACATCTCGGTTGCTTCCCAGTTTTTGCAGCTATGAATAAAACTGCTGTAAATATTTATGTGCAGGACTGGGCAGTGGGGGGGTCACGCCTGTAATCCCAACATTTTGGGAGGCTGAGGCGGGCAGATCACTTGAAGTCAGAAGTTCAAGACCAGCCTGGCCAACATGGTGAAACCCCATCTCCACGAGAAATACAAAAAAATTAGCCACGTGTGGTTGCGGGGCACCTAAAATCCCAGCTACACAGTAGGCTGAGGCAGGAGAACTGCTTGAACCCAAGAGGCGAGATTGCACCACTTCACTCCAGCCTGTGTGACAGAGCAAGACTCCATCTCAAAAAAAAAAAAAATTCATGTGCAGATTGTTGTGTGAACTTAAGTTTTCATCTCATTTGGGTAAATACCAAGGAGCATGATTGATGGATCGTATAGTAAAATTTAAACATAAATTTACCATATTAAACTAAACATGTTTTATAAGAAACTGCCAGAATGTCTTCCAAAGTAGCTATACCATTTGGCATTCCCAAAATGCAAAATCAACGAATGACAGTTCCTGTTGCTTGGCAGCCTTGCCAGCATTTGGTGTTCTCAATGTTTTGGACTTTATTCATTCTAATAAGTGAGTAGTGGGTTTATTTTGCAATTCCCTAAGGACATATGATACTAAGCATCTTTTTATATGCTTATTTGCCATCTGTGTTATCTTCTTTAACAAGGTGTCTATTCAGATCTTTTGCCTACTTTTTAATTGGGCTGTTTGTTTTCTTGAGTTTCAAGAGTTCTTTGTATATTTTGGCACAAGTCCTTTATCAGATATGTGTTTTGCAAATATTTTCTCCCAGTCTGTGGTTGCAATTGACTTTTATAGACAGAGTTTTATCTAACGATCTTGCTAAGCTGTCTTGTTAGTTCTAGTAGCATATCTGAGATTCTTTGCAGTTTTCTACTTAGTTGTATCATCTGCAAATGACAATTCTGTTTCTTCCTCCCAAATCCATATAACTTTAAAAAGAATTTGTGTACGCCTTTGACCAAGACCTCCCAAACAATGTTGCCTAGATTTTTTATTTTTTGGTAGGCGGCCGGGGGGAGGTTTGGGACAGCGTCTCCCTCTGTCGCCCAGGATGGAGTACAGTGGCACAATCTTGGTTCACTGCAACCTCCACCTCCCAGGTTCAAGCGATTCTCCTGCTTGAGTAACTGAGTAACTGGGATTACAGTCACACACCACCACCCCCAAGCCTGGCTAATTTTTGTATTTTTAGTAGAGACAGAGTTTCACCATGTTGGCTAGGCTATTCTCAAACTCCTGATCTCAGTTGATCCGCCCGCCTTGGCCTCCCAAAGTGCTGGGATTACAGGCATGAGCCACCGCGCCCAGCCTACTTTGATCTTAAAAGGAGTATTTTCAGCATTTTGAGTTTTTGTCAAATTTTGCCTCATGTGTTTTGAATCTCTGTTATTGGGTGCCTACACATTTAGAATTATGTCTTCTTGACAAATTCACCATTTACTTATTATGAAAATCTACTTTATCCTTGGTTATATTTCTTGTTTTTTTGTTCATTTGTTTTTTTTGAGAGGGAGTCTTGCTCTGTCGCCCAGGCTAGAGTACAGTGGCGTGATCTTGGCTCACTGCAACCTCTGAGGCCCGGGTTCAAGCGATTCTTCTGCCTCAGCCTCCTAAGTAGCTGGGATCACAGGCATGCACCACCATGCCTGGCTAATTTTTGTATTTTAGTAAAGACGAGGTTTCACCATGTTGTCTAGCCTGGACTCAAACTACTGACCTCAAATATTCTGCCCGCCCTGGCCTCCCAAAGTGCTGGGATTACAGGCGTGAGCCACCACGCCTAGACTATATTTCTTGTTCCGAACTCAACTTTGATATTTCTATACTGACACTAACTTTCTTATGATTAGTGTTTTTTCAGTTTTTTTCCATTCTTTCATTTTTAATCTGTGTACATCATTATATATAAAGTGCATTTTTTAAATACAGCATATTTTGATCTTACATTTTTATTTCAATCTGACAATCTTTTTTTTTTTTTTTTGAGATACAGTTTTACTCTGTCACCCAGCCTGACACACAGTGGTGTAATCTCAGCTCGCTGCAACCTCCGTCTCCCAAGTTCAAGCAATTCTCACGCCTCAGCCTCCCAAGAAGCTGGGACTACAGACGCGGTCCACTAGGCCCGGCTAATTTTTTGTATTTTTAGTAGAGACGTGGTTTCACCATGTTGGCCAGGTCTCAAACTCTTGACCTCAAGTGACCCGCCCACCTCAGCCTCCCAAAGTGCTGGGATTACAGGCATGAGCCACCACGCCTGGCCCAATCTCTGCCTCTTAGAGTTCTTAGACATTTACATTGACTGCGATTATCAATACAATTGAGTCTAAATCTACCAACTATTTTTTAACAATTTTTCCTCTATGTTTTTTGTTCCTCTTTTCTCGCCTTCTTTTAGATTTAGTATGTTCTAGTATTCTATTATATCTACTTTATTGGTTATGTATCTTTGTTGGGTTTTTTTAGTGGTTGCTTACAGTTTACAGTATGCATGTTTAGTTTACCACTATCTACATTCAAATATTTTACTATTAATATTTCATGTGTATTTTTAGAGCCTTAAAATGGTATACTTCAGTTTCCTCTCTCCCATTCATAGTGTAATTGTTGTCATATATTTTGCTTCTACTTGTTATAAACCACACAATAATTGGTAATTGTTTTGGGGATGGTTTGCTTGGTAGTATGCTTAGAAGCTGCCACTGTGTCAGAGTTGCCTTTCCCTTCCCCACTTTGCTGCTTCAGAAAAGGGCATTTTGGGAGCAAGGAACAGCCTTAAGTTTATAATCATCTTAGATCACTGGTGTGCAGGATGAATGGTCTGTAGTTCACACAATATGAAAGTCAATACATGTCTAAGAATGAGAAAAGAAATTAAAACAAATTTCTGGAGTCTCAGACATTCAGTTTCTTTTGTTTTGTTCTGAGACAGGGTCTCACTCCCTCACCCACGCTGGAGTGCAGTGGCACAATCTCAGCTCATAGCAGCCTCGACTTCCCAGGCTCAGAGGTGATTCTCCCACCTCAGCCTCCCAAGTAGCTGGGACTACAGGTGTGTGCCACCACACCCAGCTAACTTTTGCATTTTTTTGTAGAAGCGAAGTTTTACTATGTTGCCCAGGCTGGTCTTGAACTCCCGGGCTCAAGCAATCCACCCACCTCAGCCTCCCAAAGTGCTGGGACTACAAGCACGAGCCAACATGCCCCGCCCTTTGTTTTGTTTTTAGGACCTCTTTAAGCAGTTTACCAGAAATGTGCACATGGAAAGCCTTCCTGATGGCCACCAGGCTTCTCTTCCCCACCTGGAACTCTAGGGCCCTGGCCAGTGAGGGCCGTGGAGCTCGCACTTCATTAGCTTCATGGAGAACCCCATTTACTGGTGTTATAGAAGACAGGAAATTTCTGATATAGTCCCAGTCCTGACAGGTGAACAAGTACACTTCCCCTCTGTGAATCTGAGTTTCCTGCTATGTTGCTGGTCCCCACAGTCGCTTTCTACTGGTTCTGCCTAGAGGTGCCCAGGCAGCTTGCAGACTTTTGGCACAGCCTTGGGAAAAGGCCTGCTTTTCCCAGGAGGTGGGCCTGGGGGACGGAAGAGAATTAGCCAGTGGTCCACTGAGGCTATTCCCCTACAATTCCTACCCATTCCAAACTGTTCCCCAAACTGTATCCCTAAGAATCATCTGGGAAGCTTCTTAAAACACAGGTTCCAATAGGCATTATCTCCCCAATAGTCTGAGTCAATAGGCCTGGAGGGAGCCCAGGAATATGCTTTTCTTGGAAATGGGGGCTTGCTGCATCTCCCAGGCTGCTGGAGTGCAATGGCATGATCATAGCTCACTATAACGTCAACCTGCTTGACTCAAGCAATCTTCCCAACTCAGCCTCCTGAGTAGCTGAGACTACAAGTGTGCACTACCGTGCCCAGCTAATTATTATTATTTTTTGAGACAGGGTCTCACTGTTGCTTAGGCTGATCTCAAACTCTTGGCCTCAAGGTAATCCTCCTGTCTTGGCCTCCCAAAGTGCTGGGATTACAGTCATGAGCCACCAGGCCAGGCCAAGCAACTCCCTGGGTGCTTCTGACTCAGATACCTGCCACCCATGCTTAAAGGAACATAAGGGAGGCTGGAGAGGGAGGGGAGTTGTGTTAGCAGACATGGGAAGCTTCTTCCCAGACCCATCTACATCTCCCTGTTTGGTCGTTTCATCTCAAATTCTCTGGTAAAGCGTATGAGCCTCCAAGGAGGGAAAACAGGATTTGCTGAGAACCTTTCCCACCTTTACGTCATCTCATATAAACCTCATTCAGAAGTGAAAATAACTGGCCTTGGGTAAAGCAAAGAGCCTGGAGATGAACTCAAGTCTTACTTTGAAGCCTGTGATCTTTTTCACATCTTGGGTACCTTGTAAGAAATGGAAAAGTGAGCACCTTCTATGAGCCAGGCCCTCTCATGTGCATTTTTTTCATGTAGTCCTCATACT
Organism: Homo sapiens; assembly: GCF_000001405.40. Taxonomy (NCBI): domain Eukaryota; kingdom Metazoa; phylum Chordata; class Mammalia; order Primates; family Hominidae; genus Homo; species Homo sapiens. Next base: position 244,723,673 of record NC_000001.11, read on the forward strand.
AGTCTATATAGATATTATCCATATTTTAGAGCTGCAGAATTGAGACTCAGCGTGGCTGAATCACTCCTCCAAAGTCAAACCGCTCACAAGCTGCAAGAACTGGAATTCTCTCAAACCCCAATCTTACTCCGCTGTTCCTCTGACTGGGAGGTTGACCTTCTCTCCAGGCCAGGGGAAGAGGTCGGTGTTGCTAGGCCATTAATGCTAATCCCATTCCCCCTGCTGTGTCTGGTTTAGAGGTGTGTTCTGGCCACTGAGACATGAGTGGAGTCCACTGGAGGGACTCTCAGAGAGGTTTCCAGAGAAGATTGGGGCTGGGCGCAGTGGCTCATGCCTGTAATCCCAGCACTCTGGGAGGCCGAGGCAGGTGGATTGCTTGAGGCCAGGAGTTCAAGACCAGCCTGGCCAACATAGTGAAACCTCGTCTCTACCAAAAATACAGAAAAAAAAAAGTGCTAAAAACAAAAAGTTCTGGCAAGGAAGTGAAGATAACGGAACCCTTGTTCACTGTTGGTGGGAATGTAAAATGGTCCAGCTGCTGTGGAAAACAGAAGGACGATTTCTCAAAAAATTAAACCTAGCATCACCATAGGACACAGCAGTTCCTCAAAGCAGGGCCTCAAAGAGATATGTGTCTGCTCATGTTCATAGCAGCATTATCCACAATAGCCAAAAGGTAGAAGCAACCACCCAAATGTCCACTGAAGAAGGAATGGACCAGCCGGGCATGGTGGCTCATGCCTGTAATCCCAGCACTTTGGGAGGCCAAGGCAGGTGGATCACCTAAGGCCAGGAGTTTGAGACCAGCTTTCCCAACATGGTGAAACCCTGTCTCTACTAAAAATATAAAAATTAGCCAGGCGTGGTGGTGTGCGCCTGTAATCCCAGCTACTCGGGAGGCTGAGGCAGGAGAATCGCTTGAGCCCAGGAGGCAGAGGTTGCAGTGAGCTGAGATCACAACACTGCACTCCAGCCTGAGTGACAAAAAAAGAAAGTGACTCAAAAAAGAAAAAAAAAAAAACAGAAAAGAAAAAAGAAGAATTCAAGTCACATAGTAATTCTTAGGAACCTAGTGCTGTGTAAACTAAGGTCTACCTGTACCTGTATAAATAAAAATGTTGGGCTGCCTTAAATCTTACCTCTCTCCCCAGGGGCAGAAGCCTGCCTCACCACCAGGACTTAGCCCTATGTATGTATGTACCTTGGAGGACCGTGGCAGAGCAAGCACTCTGACCAGTTATTGGCAGAGATGAGGCTTCTCCTCTTGAGCTCATCAGTGATAACCCAGCGTACCACCAACCTCCCCTTTTCCTTCAGACGCTACAGTTCAAAGTGTCTCCTGAATTCTTTTCTCCAAGGAACCCCAGCATCATAGATTGGACCCATCATTCCCACATGAGTGACCCCCTCTGCCAGCCACTACCACCCAGATACTTAGGATACTGGTCTGCTAGAGGCTGACATCCCTCTTCACGAAGACACTGGGGGGTGAGGTGAGATGGGGCTCCCTGTCCCCCACAAGCCCCTTCCTTCAGGTCCCCAAGACCACCACGCAAGACTGCTCAGGCCCACCAGGCCCTGGGTCCCATAGTCAGTGGGGAGCCCCAGTCCTGCTAGTCCGAGGCCCTTCATTCATCCCCAGCCACAAGCTGGCTAGATCCATTTAATTCAGCACAGATAGTACTTTTTTTCCTTCAAGATCAGAAGTCTAAATAAACCATATCGAGAAAAGAAAGAAACTCTCATGTACCAAGTTGTCTCACTTTGTGGAGTTAATGGGTTCTCAAAATTGTGTGACATAGCCTTTGGTGTCTTTCCTGCTGTACGTGGAATAGAAAAAGAATTGCCTTCAAGCTCTGAAGTTGATGACATTCTCCCTTTGGGGAAAAAAGAGTTTTCAAAGGAAGGAAGGTTTCCCAATTTCCCTGAGGTACTTTCATTGGCTCATTCACTCAATAAGCACACCAACCATGTACCAGAAACTTATAAACATGATTTCCTATTTGCAAAGGCCTTCTGCCATCACAGCTTTTCTGATCCACAAATTGCACTGGACTTGAAATAAGAAATATTTCCAAATCGCTGTTTGGTCATTAGAAGTTAGTACAACCTCTCTGAGCCTTGTATTCTTATTTTAAAATATAGCAAGAGCCGGTGCTCCTACCTGTAAGCCCAGCACTTTGGGAGGCTGAGAAGGGCAGATCACCTGAGGTCAGGAGTTCAAGATCAGCCTGGCCAACATGGTGAAACCCCGTCTCTACTAATACAAAAATCAGCCGGGCATAATGGTGCACACCTGTAGTCCCAGTTACCCGGGAGGCTGAGGCAGGAGAATCACTTGAACCCTGGAGGCGGAGGTTGCAGTGAGCCAAGATGGCGCCATTGCACTCCAGCCTGGACAACAGAGTGAGACTCTGTCTCAAAAATATATATATACATAGTAAGACTCCTTGTCCTGTCAAACTCACAAAACTATATGCAGATCACCTAAGAACAGCCAGTGAACACGGGAGTCATGCTGTCGTTGTTATAGTTAAAGAAAAAGATTGGTTGATTATTTTAAAATGAGATGGGGTCTTGCCTTGTTGCCCAGGCTGGTCTTAAACTCCTGGCCTCAAGCAATCCTCCCACCTTGGCCTCCCAAAATGCTGAGATTGCAGGTGTGAGCCACCATGCCTGGCCAAAATTTATTGTTAATTAGAAAGAGGGGAAGCAAGATGGAAGGGCCAAGCCACCTGTTAGGGCAGAAGCAGTTCTAGAAACCCCATCTCATAGAGTTCAGGGTGCAGAACTGCTGAAGACATCCTCCTTCTTTCTGGCTGGGCACCTCTCAGGGCTTAAACACAATGATAGCCATGAGTTTTACTAACTCAAATTGAACATGTCAATCACGGGGCCTGTCTTACCCAACAGTCTATTCTAATGAAAACTCTGCAGCACCCAGCACACCCCTACTGCCTTTTCAGGAAAGCAGTACTAGGCTTCTCTTAACTAGGGGTTTGGACCAAGGGTAGGACCCCTGATCCAAAGGCAGCTAGACCCCAGGAAGACAGCCATGAAAGTAGCCTGGCTTCACCAATAGCAATGGTGGTAATTACCAAAGTCAATCAGACCACATCCCTCAGACAGATCTGTCTGGGAGGATACAGAGTGATTATCAATGGGAAGAGAGAAAGAGGACAGGCCTGCATGGGGAGCAGGGAGGGAGGCTCAGCCCACAGGAGGACTCAGCTCCAACACGCCTCAGGGCTGTGATCTAGCCCCATTTTCAGCACAGTGTTTCCTTATAATAAACACATTTCCCCTAGATTCCTTTTTTTTTTTTTTTTTTTTTTTGAGATGGAGTCTCACGCTGTCACCCAGGCTGGAGTGCAATGGTGTGGTCTCGGCTCACTGCAACCTCCGCCTCCTGGGTTCAAGCGATTCTCCTGTCTCAGCCTCCCGAGTAGTTGGGACCACAGGCCACCACGCCTGGCTAATTTCTGTATTTTTACTAGAGATGGGGTTTCACTATGTTGGCCAGGCCGGTCTCAAACTCCTGACCTCGTGATCCACCTGCCTCGGCCTCCCAAAGTGCTGGGATTACAGGTGTGAGCCACCACGCTTGGCCCCCCTTTAAGGTAACTTTACCTTAAAGGAATCTGAGGCTAGATAGAAAAGTCTCTAAAAGAGGAAACTAAAAGAGCTTCACTAACACAAAAACTCAACCTGACTTACCTCCTGTGGCCAAGAGACATGTTTCTGGAATATCTACACCAGAAAACACTCAACCACAGATGGCTGAATAATGAGGCACTACATTTTTGTTGGTTTTTTAAACTGGTTTTCAGCTAGAAAGAAGATGGATATGGGAGGAAGAAAAAGTCCCATGCTGGTCCTAATGCAGCTCTGCAAGATCAGAGATAAAAGTTGTCACCATGAAATACTGCAAATTCCTAAGCTTGGGGGTGGAGGTGGGGCAGGGAGGGGGCAGTGGCAGAAGGAACCACCTGCAGGTACTCAACCCCAACAATGTAATGCAGCCTGGGTGCTCTCTCTGCATCCAAGGACCATGCTTCTGCTGAATTGGGGCCTTAGTGGGAGACATCTGTTGGTGTATCAACCCAGCAAATCTGGTAGAAGCTACCACTCTGCTCTTGCCCTGGGAGACAGCCATTCTAATCAACAGCCAAGAGGAGCCAATTGAAGGCCGACAGCACAGTGCCAAAAAGGTAAGGCTTTGTGTGGATACCTAAGAGTGAAACTAGGGAGACAGAGGACACACGTGAAACCACCCTAATAAATTCTCTAAATAAGTTGAGCATTTACATTATGCTACGTGCTTATACACCAAGCCTGGGTGTGTGTGTGTGTGTGAGTAGAGAGGGGTCCCCACAGACGGAGACATAATCTAGGCCAATTTCCTCAGCCTAGTGAAGAGGAAGTACTGCAGAGGGCCACGAGACAGTCGAAACAAAAAGGCATGGCTACATTCAAATAAATTAAGGGTCAGAGAATTAACTGTAGTTTGTCTCTTTCCTTTCGGAAACAAACCCAGAAAACATTAAATAGGTGGAATGTCTTACACATTATTCAACAGCACCTCTAGTCCAGGATTTGAGAATTCAGCAATTGGGCATTCTTCCAGCGGTCTTTTCTTTACCGGCCTCTTAGCTTCAACCTCTCGAAGCAGAGAGGGTTCAACTGGGCTGCTACCTACAGAACAGCTTTTAATTCAGGCATCACGGGACCCCCCGCCCAGTCAGCTATAGGCAGGATAACAGGATGGCCTTCCTCCTAAGGATGGGGCTATGAGGTTTAGTGGCTTTTCTGGTAAAAACGCCTTCCTCTATCACAGACCTACAAAGCAATTTCATCTATCTGGGCAACGACAAGAATAAAGAAGCTAGGAGAAATACAAAATGCACCTAACCAACCCCAAGTCACAGAATTACAGAGAATTCTTCCCTATGGGGCGCCGGCTCCTGGCCTCGGCTTTCTAGCGTATACCTTGGTTTTTCTGTTTTTCATCTTCCTAGGTTCACTGTTCAAGTATCAGGCATCATGATCCTCCACCTCCCACCCTTCCCCCAGTGATTTTTTTTTTTTTAAGACAGGGTCTGGCTCTGTTGCCCAGGCTGGAGTGCAGTGGTACAATTACAGCTCACCGCAGCTGAACACTGGGGCCTAAGCGATCCTCCCACCTCAGCTTCCCAAGTAGCTGGGACTACAGGCGCGCACCACCACACCCAGCTCAATTTTTAAATTTCTCTGTAGAGAAGAAGCCTCCCCATGTTGCCAGGCTGGTCTTGAACGCCTGGCCTCCAACAATATTCCCACCTTTACCTCCCTAAACGCTGGCCCCTTCCCCAGCGTTGACGCTCTAGGTCAACGGGGAGGGGAAATCCCTGCCTGGAAGGCGCCAGGGACTCCAAAGCCGCTTCAACAGCTGCACAATCAAGTGGAGAGCTTCCAGGCTCGCAGTTTGGCGTTTTTAGCTTGCTAGTGAAAAGGGTAAACTGAGCAGGGAGCGGTGGCTCATGCCTGTAATCCCAGCACTTTGGGAGGCCGAGGCAGGTGGATCACCTGAGGTCGCGAGTTCGAGACCAGCCTGACCAACCTGGAGAAACCCCGTCTCTACTAAAACTACAAAATTAGCCGGGCATAGTGGCACATGCACAAGTAATTCCAGCTACTTGGGAGGCTGAGGCAGGAGAATCGCTTGAACCCGGGAGGCGGAGGTTGCGGTGAGCCGAGATCGCGCCATTGCACTCCAGCCTGGGCGACAGAGCAAGACTCTGTCTCAAGAAAGACGGAAAGGAAAGAAAAAGAAGAAAAGGGTGAGCTAGTGAAAAGCTTGCCAGCTTTGGCGCGTGAGGCAGTGAGGGGAGAGGGAGGGGTGGATGCTAGTCTGGCTGGGAACAGCCTGCGGAGAGACCATTATCACAGTTTAGTAACTACCCGTAAGGTGTGTCGCGCTTTCAGAGTCCCCACAGCACTTTCACTTCTACTATTTTACTTTCATCCTCACGAGTCTGTAGAGCCGGAGTATCATTAGCAGGTTTTTATTGATGAGGAAAAGGAAGACATTCAAGACCCATCTGGGAGCCTCCAGGAGTCCTTTCCCTTTGTTCTTCTAAGTCTAGCCCTGGTTTCCAAACTCCCCTGTCCCACCCCCACCCCAAGCCACCCTTCCTAAATGCCTGTCAACAAAAGCATAAAAGTAGAGTTCGCTCACTTCAAAGTGGGATGTGAAGCTCAGCATCCTGCTTTAAACGATTTTTTTATTTTTTTGACGGGGCGTGGTAGCTCACGCCTGCAATCCCAACGCTTGGGAGGCTTAGGATCGCTTGACCCCAGGAGTTTGAGTCCAGCCCGGGCAACATAGTTGGTTTTTTTTTTTTTTCTCCTGTCTCAAAAAAAAGGCATTGCAGAGATTGAAAACCGTTTCCCACCTTCTCCCCTGCAGTGTTTAGGAAGAGACAATCCGCCCCCGATTCAGCGCTTCCCAGCCCGCAGCAACTGCGCAGCGGGGGGAACCCAGGGCTCCGCGGCACCCGCAGGCTTTAGTTACTGCTCCGAGGCCCTCGGACCAAAGAGAGGCTGCGAGGAGGACGCGGCTCGTTTAGCTCGCTGCGAACCTCAAGATAACCCTTGGTTTCCATGCACATCCCCCCAACATTGCATGTGCTTTCATTCCTACGGTGCTGGGGTTACTTTCATTTATTGCTTTTGTTGACCAAAAAGAAAAAAACAATCCTGAGCGTGCACAGGGGGCGCAACGGGGGACCGGCTCCTCGTGGCTGACCGGCGGCGGGGCTGGCGCGCGGGGGCGGCCTGCGCGGGCCGCCCGGGGACGCTGCTCTGGGGTCCGGCCGCGGCCTCGTGGCCGCCCTGCGCGCGGTCCAGCACCAGCAGCGGGATCTCCTCCAGCCGGTCCGGCCGCTCCTTGCGCCGCAGGTAGCGCCGCCTCCACGTCGCCAGCCTCTGAAGCAGCCTCTGCAGGCTCGAGGGGCCCCACAGGCCGCGCTCCGGGGCCTCCTTGCCTGCGCGCGCGTGAGCTTGCCTGAGCTTCTTCCTGCGCGGGCCGCGGAACAGCCGCCGCCAGCACCAGCACCCAGAGCAGGAGCCGCCGTCGCCGGCCACCGCGCGCCGCCCGACCGCCTCCGGATCCCCGCGCGGAGGGGGGCCCCGCTCCAGGCGCGCCGCCTTCTCCAGCAGCTCGTGCTGCGCGCCGCCGCGCCGGGGGCCACCAAACCGGGGGGCCGCCATGGCCCGCGCAGGCCTCTTCTCGGAGCGCGGGGCCCACATCTCGGGAACCGTCGGGCTGGACAACAACGCTGCCGCCTCCAGGACTCCAAAGGGCCCCTCGCGTCCTCTCCCGGGAATGTACCCACAGGCCCCCTCTACGCGCTTGGGTTGCCCAGGAAACCCCAACGGTGACCCCACAATGCCCAGCAGAGCCCTCGCCCTCTGCCAATGACGGGGTCACCAGAATCCAGCGACCCAAGGAATCCCTCAAATAAGTCGGCCAAATTTCGCTGCGAACTGATTTACACATATGGCCTCACCTGGACAAGAAGGAATCTTGGAAGTTCCTGGGGCCCAACTCCTGGTTCACGAAGACACACAGCGTCCACGAGCAGGGGGCTGCGCAGCCTCCCCTGGGTCGAGGCGTGGGTTTCAGCCTCAGGCGTGTGTTGCGCTGGAGATTTGTATTTTGTGAACTGGTTTCAGGTGGTCTCAGCACTTTTCTGTTAACAGGGAACCAGAGTTTCAGGAAAGATCTCAAAACCTAATTTTCTTCATCTCGCCTCACTCAAAGGCCTCTTTCTTGTAAGACTATGATTGTTTTTTTTAAATAATTTTTTTTCTGATTGCAAACATAAGATTTTTGAAGAAATGTTGTAAAACTAATACAAAAAAGAAATACTCCTTTTTTCTGCTTTTTTATACATATTTTCGTGCTTATTAATTTTCTCCAAAGCAAAGTTAAATAATAATAGCTGCTATGGGGGCTGGTCGTGGTGGCTCATGCCTATAATCTCCGCAATTTGGGAGGCCAAGGTGGGCGGATCACTTGAGGCCAAGGGTTCGAGACCACCCTGGGCAACATGGAGAAACCCTGTCTCTACAAAAAATACAAAAAAAATGTCACGGCATAGAAAAAAAAATGCTACTCTGGGCACAGCCCTGGAGGGAGGGGCAGGGCAGTATCCAAAGCTCTTCTGGCAGCTGACTCCGTGGGGCCCCCTCCCCATGGAGAGTGAGTGGAATGAAGGGTTCATGCTATGCACTAAAATACAATGCAAATATTGATGCAAATAATTTTTTTAAATGAAATTGTTGCCCTCCTACCAAATGGGAAATTAATTTTATCACTGGATAGACACTTATGAAGAAACTGGACTTCAAGTTTGTCCATCCCAGTATTCTGGCAGAAAAGCATGAAATTGAGCCATTCCTTGCAAAGACCAGGAAATCCAGCATTTCCTACAAGACTGGGGATTGCTTGGAAAAGAAGAGCTGACAGAGTATCTCCAGATGCTGACAAGCTTGTAGGACGTATGCAGGACTGTTCATGAGGCCAACCAGAGAGGCCCTGTCCCTGTCCTTCGGGAGAGGCCCTGCAGCAGACACTGGGCCGGCCCTGGGAGGAACACATCTGCTTAGCTGTGTCCCTTCTGTATTCCCTTTCATGGTCCTTAAGTGACTACATCATCTAGTCCAGACCAACACGCTGTGCCCTGAGCAAGGTAGAAGATTTGGGGACAAGCCTGTGCCCATGGTTCCTTCTTCACAAGAATGAAAATGACTTCACGCTCCTAAGTTTGCTCCTACCTATTTTCTCCTTAACAACTCATGCACAGAGCAGTGGTGCTGAGGGGCTCTGCTGCTGGCCCTGTTCCGGATGGGCAGGGCCCCTGAGGAGGGCAAATCGAGAGGCAGAGGCCCAGAGGGAGGGTCTGGATGACCTAACCCAGCCTTAAAGGTGCCTGTTTTCATCAGCTCTTCCGTGTACCCAGCACCCTCCCAAGACCATCTGGGCCTGGCCCTTCCACCTTGCTCTGAGGGTCTGCTCCGGGATCCCCCACAAGTGAACTCTACTGAGGATGCCCAAGACCTGAAATGGGTTCTGGAAATCTTGGGTCCTCCATGGTCATCCCCACATTTGTCTCCCGTCTTTCTCCTGACAGACTCCACTCCCAGTAGTAGGGATCAACCTCTGCTTGTTAGAATAGGCAGCTAGGCAGACATGAGCTGAGCAGGAGACCGCCCCTGCCGGGAACGTGAGACAACCACCAGGTGATGGTCAGGTGGTTGTTATACTTTCTTTCCAAAATAATAATGGGTCACAGCAGGCACCAGGAAAAGGCGGTCTCCCAATAGGTAGAAAACACCTGATGCTGGTGATTAGCAGCCTGCCAGTAAGTTCTCAGGAGCTGGGCAAGTAGGCTCAAGTATGTGCACTAAGAGGCAAAGCGGCGGAGTTTAACTGGTATTTGACCTTCTAGGAACACTCAGCTGACTCAAATGAGTATGCACACAACTTCAGTAAACGCACTGCACATGCGGCCCCTGCTCTCAAGTGCGACATGCAGCCCACCACACGCGCAGACAGCCCACCCCACGGGAGGAACTGGGAGAAGGAACACAGCCCCCCAGAAGCATGCCAACGTATAAAGCCCCAAGTCAAAGGCTGAACAGTGCACTTGGATCGCTCAAGTCGCCCATTTGGCCCTCTTCAACTGTGCTTTACTTCCTTTAGTTCCTGCTCCAATACTTTTTTCTCCCCCTGCTCTATCACCCAGGCTGGAGCGCACCAATCTCAGCTCACTGCAACCTCCACCTCTGGGTTCAGGTGATTCTCCTGCCTCAGCCTCCTGAGTAGCTGAGATTACAGGCACACGCCACCACGCCAGGCTAATTTTTGTTTTTTTAGTAGAGATGGGGTTTCACCATGTTGGCCAGGATAGTCTCAAACTCCTGATCTCTAGTGATCCACCCACCTCGGCCTCCCAAAGTGCTGCGACTACAGGCATGAGCCACCGCATCCAGCCTTACCATCTTCAACTGAACCAAAGATAGAAGGGTAGAGCTGAGGCCAGGAAAGAGAAAGTGCCTGGGATAAAAAGGGTAAAAGAGGGCAAGATTTGTTATACAGATTAAATCAGTGCCTTCTCCAATAATCAGAGTCTCCAGTGATGCAGAGTCATCTTCCTCTTTCTAGTACCAGGAGGAAGACACTCTTACAAATGGAGATTATTTATTTATTTGTTTATAGACATGGTCTCGCACTGTTGCCCAGGCTGGAGTGCAGTGTCGCGATCTCGGCTCACTGCAACCTCTGCCTCCTAGGTTCAAGCCATTCTCCTGCCTCAGCCTCCCGAGTAACTGGAATTACAGGCACACACCACCATGCCCAGCTAATTTTTGTGTTTTTAGTAGAAATGGGATTTCACCATATTGGCTAGGCTGGTCTGGAACTCCTGACCTCAGGTGATCCACCCGCCTCAGCCTCCCAAAGTGCTGAGATGACAGGCGTAAGGCACCAGGCCCACCTGTATTTTTTTTTTTACAAATGTAAATTTCTCTTACAAAAGGGTAACCACTCTTGTTTTCAGAGCTTCTCTTGTCTCTGCTGTTTCTCAAAACAACCAGCTCAAAATAATCCTTATACCTAAGAAAAGAAAAATAGCTCAGAGATGTCTGAGCTATGTGAGGTGTGCAGGCCCAGATCCACAAGGCTACAGGACTTCAGTTGTGGACCCTTTACATCATCCCAGGCTCCTACACATGCCTGGGGGCAATTATTTAACTCTGTTCCTGACTAGCCTCACCCTTTATCTTCATGCTCTTGGAATTTGTGATACAAAGAACAATGTATGGCCAACCAATAGCTTAATGTTATTGTATTTATTTATTTATTTATTTATTCTTGAGACGGAGGAGTTTTGTTCTTGTTGCCCAGGCTGGAGTGGTGCGATCTCGGCTCAATGCAATCTCTACCTCCTGGGTTCATGCAATTCTGCTGCCTCAGCCTCCTGAGTAGCTGGGACTACAGGTGCCCACCACTATGCCAGGCTAATTTTTTTTTTTTTTTTGTATTTTTAGTAGAGACAGGGTTTCACCATGTTGGCCAGGCTGGTCTTGAACTCCTGACCTCAGGTGATCCGCCTGCCTTGGCCTCCCAAAGTGCTAGGATTACAGGCATGAGCCACGGCACCCAGCCAACTGTAGTGCAAATTCTTGGTAACAATTTAGGAACTGCCTCTTCTTTCCCTTTATTTTTTATTCTTTCTGTTGAGACAGTCTTGCTCTGTCGCCTAGGCTGGAGTACAGTGGCGTGACCTTGGCTCACTGCAACCTCTGCCTCCTGGGCTCAAGCCATTCTCCTGCCTCAGCCTCCCAAGTAGGTGGGAATACAGGCGCCCGCCACCACACTTGGCTAATTTTTGTATTTTTAGTAGAGGCAGTTTTCACCATGGAGCCCAAACTGGTGGCCATGGAGGCCTGACCTCAAATGATCCACCCACCTCGGCCTCCCAAAGTGTTAAGATTACAGGTGTGAGCCACTGCGTCTGGCCTTCTTTCCATTTAAAAACCCACTTGCAACTGCTGCTAATTGGAGCGTATCTTCAGGGCAACTTGAATCTATGCTCACAGATTGCAGTTCTCAAGCTTGGGCCCAAATCAGCTCTCTACTTATATTAGTTTTGCCTCTGCTTTTTCCTTTTAAGTTGACATATCCAGTGTAGTTGGCAGGATTCAGAGTGACTGTCCCCCTACCTCATCCCCACTGAGAAAGGAGAAAGGAAAAAATCCGGTCAGGCAGGCAGTTAGGGTGGGTCCTCAGTTGAATCCTTTCAAAGAACAGCCTGAAGGCACAGATAAGGGAACTTGCACAGCGGGGCTTGTCTAAGACATGCCCACAGCTGCACAGACAAGAAAGCCTACACGGGTGACTTGCCCAGACATGCCCGCAATGGAAATTTCCATCCCCTGACACATGTGCAGTAAGGGGAACAAAGCAATATGGATGAACTCAAGCTAAGGGCCCACATTCACATTATGAGGATGGGGCGAAGCTACCAGAAATTGGCACCATATGCAAATGAGATGCCCAGCCCTCATCGGTTTCCTATAAAAGCCTTTGCATTCAACTGTAAAAACAGCAGCCCTCCTCTGGTTCCCATCTCTGCAGTGGAGAGCTTTCTTCCACTTATTAAACATTTGCTCCAACCTCACCCTTTCCTTTGTATCCACACTCCTTAATTTCTTGGTCCTGAGACAAAGAACTCCAAGTGATACCTCACAACAAGAGACTGCTACATTGTGGTGCATTGGCGAGACTAACACCACCACTGTTTCTGAAAATGGCCTTGATACTAGCATGAACTCTCTGTCTTCAGGAGTCCTATTGTAAATGCCCAGTGGGTTCACCTTGCCTGCTGCCTAGACAGAACCGATTTATCAAATCAGGGGAATTACAATAGGGAAAGAGTTATTCAAGCAAAGCCAGCTGTGCCGGAGACTGGAGTTTTATTATTACTCAAATCGGTCTCCCCGAGCGTTTGGGGATGAGAGTTTTTAAGGATAATTTGGTGGGTTGAGGGGAGCCAGTGAGTCAGGAGTGCTGATTGTTTGGGCCGGAGATGAAACCGTCAGGAGTCGAAGCTGTCCTCTTGTGCTGAGTCAGTTCCTGGGTCGGGGCTGGGGCCACAAGATCAGATGAGCCAGTCTATTGAGCTGGGTGGTACCAGCTGGGTGGTGTCTGCAAAATACCTCAAGCATTGTTCTTAGATTTTACACAACAGTGATGTTACCTCCAGGAGGAATCTGGGGAGGGTCAGAATCTTGTAGTCTTCAGCTGCATGACTCCTAGACCATAATTTCCAATCTTTTGATTAATTTATTGGTCCTACAAAGGCAGTCTAGTCCCCAGGGAAGAAGGGGGTTTCTTTCCAGAAAGGGCTATCATCTTCCTTTCAAATTATAAACTAAGTTCCACTTGGCTGGGCACGGTGGCTCACACCTGTAATCTCAGCACTTTGGGAGGCCAAGGCAGGCAGATTGCCTAAGGTCAGGAGTTTGAGACCAGCCTGACCAACATGGTGAAACCCTGTCTCTACTAAAAATATAAAAATTAGCTGGGCATGGTGGCTGACACCTGTAATCCCAGCTACTTAGGAGGCTGAGGCAGGAGAATCGCTTGAACCCAGGAGGCAGAAGTTGTAGTGAGCCAAGATCGTGCCATTGCATTCCAGCCTGGGTGACAAGAGCGACACAGTGTCTCAAAAAAAAAAAAAAAAAAAAAAAGTTCCACTCAAAGTTAGTTCAGCCTTCACCCGGGAATGAACAAGGACAGCTTGGAGGTTAGAAACAAGATGGAGTTGGAGTTGGTTAGGTGACATCTCTTTCACCATCTCAGTTACAATTTTGCAATGGTGGTTTCACTGTTGGGTGTTTCTGGTGAGTTCTCCTAAATTCAGACCTCTCACTCTTTGGTTGAAGGTCTAGACTATCTGAGCTGTTTTGCAAATGCTTTCTTGTCTTTGAGCGTGAGGGCCTCAGTCTCTGTCTTTGCACAGGAAATTTGTGTAAAGAGCTATGCAGAGAACTGTCTTTATTCTACCTCTGCCTCACAGCAGAGGTTCAAGTCAAAGGATTGGCAGTTAGGCACCAGTGGTTTTGTTTTACACAATATGCTTTTTTCTTTCTTTCTTTCTTTCTTTCTGAGACAGAGTCTCACTCTGTCTTCCAGGCTGGAGTGCAGTGGTGCGATCTTGGCTCACTGCAACCTCCACCTCCTGGGTTCAAACGATTATCATTCCTCAGCCTCCCAAGTAGTACTACCATGTCCAACTAATTTTTGTATTTTTAGTAGAGACAGTGTTTTGCCATGTTGGTTAGGCTGGTCTTAAGCTCCTGACCTCAAGTGATCTGCCTGCCTCAGCCTCCCAAAGTGCTGGGATTACAGGCATGAGCCACCACGTCCGGCCTACATAGCATGATTTTAAGATTACAGCTGTTTTCTATCATTTGAAAATTCTGACTTAGGGCTGGGCGCGGTGGCTCACGCCTGTAATCCCAGCACTTCGGGAGGCCGAGGCAGGTGGATCACAAGGTCAGAAGATCAAGACCATCCTGGCTAACACGGTGAAACCCCGTCTCTACTAAAAATACAAAAAATTAGCCAGGTGTGGTGGCGGGCGCCTGTAGTCCCAGCTACTCGGAGGCTGAGGCAGGAGAATGGCGTGAACCGGGGGGCAGAGCCTGCAATGAGCCAAGATTGCGCCATTGCACTCCAGCCTGGGAGACAGAGCGAGACTCCGTCTCAAAAAAAAAAAAAAAGAAAAAAGAAAATTCTGACTTAGCCTTTCATTTCTGACCAGTTATTCCTAACTGAAAGTATACCCACTTTTTGCTCTCCCAAACAGGTATGAGGGTCCAATCCCCCATAACTGGAGCACTCTGCTGCCACTTGGCAGGTGTAGTCACATTTTGACCCTAACCACATCCCTGACCTTGGTCACTTTTGAAAAGTTCATTGGCCAGGCGTGGTGGCACACACCCGTAATCCCAGCACTTTGGGAGGCCGAGGTGGGCAGATCATGAGGTCAGGGGATCGAGACCATCCTGCCTAACATGGTGAAACCCCGTCTCTACTAAAAATACAAAAAAAAATTAGCCAGGCATGGTGGCGGGCGCCTGTAGTCCCAGCTACTCGGGAGGCTGAGGCAGGAGAATGGCGTGAACCTGGGAGGCTGAGCTTGCAGTGAGCCGATATCACACCACTGCACTCCAGCCTGGGCAACAGAGAGAGACACCATCTCAAAAAAGAGAAAGAATACTCTAGCAATGTGGAAGAAGTTTCATGACTTCTGTTGTCTATTGTAGTATAACAAACCACCTCGAAACCTAATTGCTTAGAACAACAACCAATTCTAGGTTGGGTGCCGTGGCTCACGCCTGTAATCCCAGCACTTTGGGAGGCTAAGGCAGGCGGATCACAAGGTCAGGAGATCGAGACCATCCTGGCTAACATGGTGAAACCCCATCTCTACTAAAAATACAAAAAATTAGCCAGGCGTGGTGGCAGGCACCTGTAGTCTCAGCTACTGGGGAGGCAGAGGCAGCAGAATGGCGTGAACCCAGGAGGTGGAGCTTGCAGTGAGCTGAGATCGCACCACTGCACTCCAGCCTAGGCGACAGAGCGGGACTGTGTCTCGGAAAAGAAAAAAAAAAACAAAACAGAATAGTTCATCAATTATGGGAAATTAAGCTTCAAAATCTAAGTGCTCTTCTTAGAGACACCGGCTGGATTTATGTATAGCGCTGATGGAAATTCTCTTGTAAATGTTTAGGTAAGTGAAACCATCTAACCCAGGAGAGCCACAAGCAGCAGTAGCCAAAAGAGAGATTCTCTGAAATGTCTAAAATAATTCATCTGCACACACAATTGGGAAAAAAAAAATACTGGTTTTAGACCCAAACCAACCAAGTGGAAGACGTCCTTTATGTTTGTCCTTCCTGAAATCTGATAATAAGAGATTTGAAAATATTATTTTTTGGGTTATTTTTTTCTTTCTTTGAGACAGGGTCTTGCTCTGTTGCCCAGGCTGGAGTGCAGTGGGCCATTCTCAGCTCACTGCAGCCTGAACTCTTGAGCTCAAGCGATCCTCCCACCTCAGCCTCCTGAGTAGCTGGGACTACAGGTGTGCACCACCACACTCAGCTAATTTTTTGATTTTTTGTAGAGACTGGGTCTCACTATGTTGCCCAGGCTGGTCTTGAACTCCTGGCCTCAAATGATCCTCCCACCTCAGCCTCCCAAAGTCCTGGGATTGTAGGCATGAGCCACCACCCATGGCTTTTACAGCTTTAGGATTGGAACTCAGCATAATTAAAAGCTGACACTTGGGCTATCATTTTTTAGACAAAGACAAAAAGTCCCTCCTGCTTTTTTCCTCTTTTGGATCTTCTTTCTGGGAATTTTCTTAGTTGACTGAAACCCCTTTTTAAATGTGTTTGATTCCTCTGTTTGCTTCCTACCTTGTTGGCATAATTTCTGCTGAAAAAAGTGTAAAATTTGTTGGCCTTTTAGAAAGCTTAGAATCTCCCCAAATTGCCTCTTTTAACACTTGTTCTTCTATTTTCTTCCACTTGAAACCAGCACTGCAAAATTATAACTGAGACAGTGAAAGAAATCTAGCTTTGCCAACTCCATCTCGCTTCTGACCTCCAAACTGTCCTTGTTCATTCCTGGGTGTAGACGGAACTAACTTTGGAGGAACTTAGTTTGTAGTTTAACTTTGAAACAAAGACAATAACAGCCCTTTCCCAGAACAAACTCCCTTCTTGCCTGGGGACTAGACTGCCTTTGTAGGACTAACAAATTAGCCAAAAGATTAGAAATTATAGTTTAGGAGTCATGCAGCTAGAGGCCGCAAGATTTTGAACCTCCCCAAATTGTTCCTGGAGATAACATCACTATTATGAAACCTAAGATCAGTGCTTGAGGTATTTTGCAGATCCTGCATTTATGACTCACCTGGCACCACCCAGTTTAATAAACTGGCTCATCTGAGCTTGTGTCCCCCAACCAGAAACTGACTCAATGCAAGATTCAACTCCGTATGATTTCATCTCCGGCCCAACCAGGCAGCACTCCCGACTCACTGCCCGCCTCCGCCCACCAAATTATCCTTAAAAACTCTGATCCCCGAATTCTCAGGGAGACTGATTTGAGTAATAATAAAACTCCAGGCCGGGCGCCGTGGCTTACGCCTGTAATCCCAGCACTATGGGAGGCCAAGGCGGGCAGATCACCTGACGTCGGGAGTTCGAGACTAACCTGACCAACATAGAGAAACCCCGTCTCTACTAAAAATACAAAATTAGCTGGGCGTGGTGGCGCATGCCTATAATCCCAGCTACTCCGGGGCCGAGGCAGGAGAATCACTTGAACCCGGGAGGTGGAGATTGCGATGAGCTGAGATCGCACCACTGCACTCCAGCCTGGGCAACAAGAGCGAAACTCTGTCTCAAAAACAAAAAAACAAACAACAACAACAACAACAAAAGGTACTTCCCTTTCCCCTTTATTATTATTATTATTATTATTATTATTATTATTATTATTTTTGAGATGGAGTTTGACTCTTGTTGCCCAGGCTGGAGTGCAGTGGCGCAATCTTGGTTCACTGCAACTTCCGCCTCCCGGGTTCAAGCAATTCTGCTTCAGCCTCCCGAGTAGAGTAGCTGGGATTACAGGTGCCCGCCACCGCACCCGGCTAATGTTTTGTTTTTTTTTTAATTTCTTTCTTTCTTTTTTTTCTTTCTTTCTTTTTTTTTTTTTTTTTGTATTTTTAGTAGAGATGGGAGTTTCACAATGTTGGCCAGGGTAGTCTCGAACTCCTGGCCTCAGGTGATCCAAAGTGCTGGGATTACAGGAGTGAGCCACTGTCCCCAGTGGTAAATTCTTATCTTAAGGTGGAATGCCAATATAAGAAAGGAAGTGTAGGACAAAGCTGAAGGTTTCCAAGTTGTTGAAGGTTTATGAAAGATTAATCTCATGAAAAGAATTTTGTATGGCTGGGCGCAGTGGCTCACGCCTGTAATCCCAGCACTTTGGGAGGCCAAGGCGGGTGAATCACCTGAGGTCAGGAGTTTGAGACCAGCCTGACCAACATGGTGAAATCCCGTCTCTACTAAAAACACAAAAATTACCCTGGCGTGGTGGCGCACGCCTGTAGTCCTAGCTACTCAGAAGGCTGAGGCAGGAGAATTGCTTGAACCCGGGAGGCAGAAGTTGCAGTGAGCCAAGATTGCACTACTGCACTTCAGCCTGGGTGACAGATCTAGACTCTGTCTAAAAAAAAAAAAAAAAAAAAAAAAAGGTTTACGGAAATCTTATCCTGTGTGGTCAATGCTGACTGAGATTAGATGAATTAATTTGTTTATTAGGTTTTATTAACATTAGCTTTAGGGTTGAACTCGGTAGCTCACACCTGTAATTCCAGCACTTTGGGAGGCCAAGATGGGAGGCTCCCTTGAGCCCAGGAGTTTGAGACCAGCCTGGGCAACATAGTGAGCCCTTGTCTCTACTAAAAATAAAAAAATAAAAAAAATTAGCCAAGCATGGTGATGCACAACTATGTCCCAGCTGCTCCAAAGGCTGATGATATTGGAGGATCACCTGAGCCTAGGAGGTCACGGCTTCAGTGAGCCAAATTCATGCCACTGCACTCCAGCCTGGGCCACAGAGTGAGACCCTTTCTCAAAAAAATAATTAGCTTTAGCATGAATAATATACTGACACAAAGATAGAATTTGGTTTTCTCTTTGAACATGATTTTCATATGGTATTAATAAGAGACAGGCCGGTGCGGTTGCGCACGCCTGTAATCCCAGCATTTTGGGAGGCTGAGGCACACAGATCACTTGAAGTTAGGAGTTCGAGACCAGCCTGGCCAACTTGGTGAGACCCTGTCTCTATTAAAAATACAAAAATTAGCCAGGCATGGTGGTGGGCGCCTGTAATTTCAGCTACTTGGGAGGCTGAGGCAGGAGGAGAATCACTTGAACCTGGGAGGTGGGGTTGCAGTGAGCCAAGATCCTGCCACTGCACTCCAGCATGGGTGACAGAGAGAGACTCTATCTCAAAAAAAAAAAAAAAAAAAAAAAAAAACAGAGAGAGAGAAAATAGGCCGGGCATGGGGCTCACACCTGTAATCCCAGCACTTTGGGAGGCCGAGGCAGGTGGATCACCTGAGGTCAGGAGTTCGAGACCTGCCTGGCCAACATGGCAAAACCCCCGTCTCTACTAAAAATATAAAAAGTAGCCAGGAGTGGTGGCATGTGCCTATAATCCTGGCTACTCGGGAGGCTGAGGCAGGAGAATCTCTTGAACCTGGGAGGTGGAGTTTGCAGTGGGCCGAGATCATGCCACTGAACTCCAGCCTGGGGGACAGAGTGAGACTCTGTCTCAAAAAAAAAGGGGGGGGTTGGCAATAAAAGATTTTTGTTCATCTTTTGAGTAAATTGCCAAAAAAAAAAAAAAGGAGGGAAAGACAGATTCTAGTAGTCTTATGCTATCTTTATTAGGTTTTTGTTGTTGCTGTTTAAATCAACAATTTTTATTGTTGTTTTAAATAAACATTGATTGATTTTTTTAATTAAATTTTTTTTATCTCCATAGGTTATTGGGGAACAGATGGTATTTGGTTACATGAGTAAGTTCTTTAGTGGTGATTTGTGAGATCTTGATGCACGCATACCCAAGCAGCATACACATAACCCAATTTGTACACGCATACCCAAGCAGCATACACATAACCCAATTTGTACACGCATACCCAAGCAGCATACACATAACCCAATTTGTAGTCCTTTATCCCTCACCCCCTTCCCATCCTGTCCCCCAGGTCTTTTGATTGTTTGGAAAACTGAGTCTCCTCTCTATCAAAAAACAAAGGTTTTTGCTTTCTGAAATCTTTGAATTATCACTTGGGCTAAATGACCTACTATTATTTTACAGTGACTTATGATTTTTTTTTTTAGACTGGAGTGCAGTGGCACGGTCTCGACTCACTGCAACCTCCGTCTCCCGGGTTCAAGTGATTCTTGTGCCTCAGTCTCCCAAGTAGCTGGGATTCCAGGCAAGTGCCACCATGCCCAGCTAATTTTTGTGTTTTTTTAACTGGAGATGGAGTTTCAACATGTTGGCCAGGCTGGTCTCAAACTCCTGACCGCAAGTGATCCACCCGCCTCAGCCTCCCAAAGTGCTAGGATTACACGCGTGAGCCACCGCACCCAGCCCTATGATTCTATTTTGATCAAGTATTTTTAATCTTAAATATTTGACATGCTTTCCAAATCAAATTTCAAATTCTAAAATCAAGTCTTTTGCAAATGGAGGCCCTGGAAGGCTAAGAGGTACATGTTAGGCTATTTGTTATGTTAAAATCATACAGAAAACATTGTCAAATAAAAAATGGTGTTCAACTTTCTTTGAGTTATATTTGTATGAATACATTATTAATATGTGTCCCAAAATTATATGAGATTCCTAAAATTCTGATATGTCTTGATATTGTCAGACATAATTATGGTTAATTTTTTTTTTTTTTTTTGAGATGGAGTTTTGCTCTTGTTGCCCAGGCTGGAGTGTAGTGGTGTGGTCTCGGTTCACTGCAACCTCTGCCTCCTGAGTTCAAGTGATTCTCCTGCCTCAGTCTCCCAAGTAGCTGGGATTACAGGCGCCCGCCACCATGCCCAGCTAAGTTTTGTATTTTTAGTACAGACGGGGTTTCACCATGTTGGCCACGCTGGTCTCGAACTCCTGACATCAGGTGATCTGCCCACCTTGGCCTCCCAAAGTGCTGGGATTATAGGCATGAGCCTGTAAAATAATAGTAGGTCATTTAGCCCAAGTGATAATTCAGTTTAGGCACCTGGCCTAAATTGTTGTATGTCATAGAAATAACCACATTCCTTGTCAATTGCATCTTTAACCATGACTTCTCTGTCTTTTGTCAACCACAAACAATTATTATTTTACTTTGATTCGTCTTAAAAAGCAGTTTACATTCATTAAAAGGGCCCTGACAAGTACTCTTGGATATGGTGTGTGTGTTTTTTTTTTTTGTACACGGAGTCTCGCTCTGTCACCAGGCTGGAGTGCAGTGACACGATCTTGGCTCACTGCAGCCTCTGCCTCCCGGGTTCAAGCGATTCTCCTGCCTCAGCCTCCTGAGTAGCTGGGACTACAGGCACGCACTACCATGCTTGGCTAATTTTTGTATTTTTAGTGGAGACAGGGTTTCTCCATGTTGGCTAGGATGGTCTTGATCTCTTGACCTTGTGATCTGCCTGTCTCGGCCTCCCAAAGTGCTGGCATTACAGGCGTGAGCCACTGCACCCGGCCGGATATGGGTTTCTGATAACTTTGGAGATCATATCATTGGACTAAGTAAAAACTTTTAGAACTCTGATAAACTGATGCATTCATGAAGATTGCTAACCCAACATCAAGCAGAACAAGAATTCATTGCATGGGACTGACCTGATAGAGGACTGGAATGATTTTTGTGACTTTTTGTTAGAAACATTGCTGAATCTTTTTATATTTGTTTCCTAGAGTCAATAAAACTTTTTTCTTTTGAGCTCCTTATAACTTATAGCAATTAGGTAAAATATAACTTTAGGAACAAAATTGAAACAATTGTCTTTCTCTCTACCTCATTTCTCTAAACTTTGGAAACTATGAGTATTGTATTTTATGGCAATCTAGTTATTTGTAGAAATTCAATAAGAATCTGTTTTATGTAACAGGACCCAGTCAAGACACTAGGTATTTTACCAAGGCCTTCACTCTCATAGCATATTTTCAGATATCTTGAGACTGCTTTGAGGAACTGAGATTTTGACTTTACAAAGTCAATTAAAATCTCCTTCGAAAAAGTGGCCTGGTACCTTGTGTACACAGTTCCCTTTGAAGGTTTCTGATCTTGCAGTAAGTAAAGAATGTTACTTTCTGGCCTGGTGCAGTGACTCATGCTTGTAATCCCAGCACTTTGGGAGGCTGAGGCAGGCAGATCACTTGAAGTCAGGAGTTCGAGACCAGCCTGGCCAACATGGCAAAACCCTGTCTCTACTAAAAATACAAAAATTAGCCGGGCGTGGTAGCACATGCCTGTGATGCCAGCTACTCAGAAGGCTGAGGCACGAGAATTGCTTGAACCTAGGAGGTGGAGGTTGCAGTGAGCTAAGATTACACCACTGCACTCCAGCCTGGGTAACAGACCAAGACTCTGTCTCAAAAAAAAAAAAAAAAAAGTCACTTTCTGATGGACCCAAAAACATCAAGATGTTTTGGAGACCCTGAGAAGAGAGGAACTCACCCATTTTGCACAGGTATTACAGGTACAGTCTAATAGTGAATCCTTGGCTTGGCTTCTTAGCCTTGAGGCTTTTAAGAGTCTGGTTTGAAATTCCTTATGAAAGGTTCAGCGAAGCCGACCTAAAGGAGTCTATATGGCTGATCACTATTCTTGTACTTTATGCAAATAATCAGCCCAAATATAATACTAACACTTATTTGCAAGTACATCAGTCCTAGTAAGATTTATTTTGGGAAAAACGGGGACTGCAGGAAGGGAAAAGTTATGTTTCAGAAGAAAACCATAGTACACCTGTTATTCTATTCTAACCCTGCCTATTGTTAGGAGTTTTTATTATTTTCCTACAATTTGGACTGAGTCTCCAAATGAATAGGTTTTTTTACTATGTATTTCTCGTTGTTTTACTTCTTCTGAGAAAACCAAAAGCATGAAATTCTGAAGACTAGAGATGATTCAACAAGCAACATCAGTTGTATAAATTAGAGGCTTGACTGAGAACTATCTCGGAATAAGCCTTCCCAGGGCCGAGTTATGAAGGATGTCTATCACTCTCACCTGAGCAGAGATCGGTCACCGACACTTTCATGGGAAGCTTTTTGATCAACAGTGGGGAAATGAGAAAAGAAAAGTAGCTCAGAGCAGTCTGAGCTATGTCAGGTATGCAGGCCCACCAAGACGTGAGTACGGACCAGTCCTGCTGCCCACACATCCACGCCTAGCGGTAGTTGTTTAAAGCCATTTTGTTCCTAACTAGCTGCTTTACCCTTTATCTTCATGTTCCTGGAATTTGTGATACAAAGAACAAGGTATAATCAATCAATAGTTTATGTTGTTTTAATGTCAATTCTTGAGAAACAACTCAGAAACTGCCTCTTCTTTGTCTTTAAAAGTCCACTTGTAACCGCTACTCATCAGACTGTATATTCAGGGCAACTTGAATCTATGCTGCCCAGCTGCCACCCCCAAGTTTGGCCCAAACAATCTCTCTACTTCTGTTAATTTTGCCTCAGCTTCTTCCTTTTAGGTCACCATGCCAAAGAGGCATATTTTGGGGTGGCATATTCTGGTCTGCACAATCATCCGGGCAGGAGTGTGTTCAGTTTCCACCACCTCTGATCACACCCGAACTGTCTTTCGCTTGTCCCCTCACCTTGGCATGACTGCATAGGAGCTGGTCCTTCCCCTACCCCATTCATTGCCCTTTAAGAATTGCTGTATGTGGACCGGGTGCGGTGGCTCATGCCTGTAATCCCAGCACTTTGGGAAGCTGAGGCGGGCAGATCACCTGAGGTCGGGAGTTTGAGACCAGCCTGACCAACATGCAGAAACCCCGTCTCTACTAAAAATACAAAATTAGCCGGGCGTGGTGGCACATGCCTGTAATCCCAGCTACTAGGGAGGCTGAGGCAGGAGAATCGCTTGAACCTGGGAGGCAGAGTTTGTGGTGAGCCAAGATCGCACCATTGCACTCCAGCCTGGGCAACAAGAGTGAGACTCCGTCTAAAAAGAAAAATTAAAAAAGAATTGCTGTATGTTTTATTTGCTCCTTCTCTCTTCTCCACTGGGTGCTTCCTCCTTGTATGTAGGCTGTCAACGCTTCCAGCCTCCTGTGGTATAAGGCACAAGGCAAGGCCTACAGACAGACTCAGAGGGTAGAAACAACAAGCCATAACTCAGGTTATTACTTACGTAGATGGTGAAAGGAAAAGTAGGCAAAGATGCTAGCTCCCCATCACCCTCGCACCAGGCAATGCTGAAGCAAAAGGGGTCAGGTGACTGCAGTGCCAGTGTTGGGACATGCTGTCACTGAAGAGCTACTGCCATGCGGCCACTAGTTTACCACCTGCAACTGTGCCCGACATGAGGGAGGGCAAGGGAGGAAGGCCCATACATCACCAGAACCTGTTGAACTAAAAGGAAAGGGCTGAGGCATAAAATAGAACGTAAAGAGGTTACATGAGCCGAAGTGAGGAGAGCAGCCCAGGACACACTTCCAGGCTGCCTTGGGGAGTGCACCATTAGGCCTTTGTTACAAGCAGGCCTTTATGTTGTTGTTGTTTTGAGACAGAGTCTCACTCTGTTGCCCTGGCTGGAATGCAGCAGCACAATCTCTGCTCACTGCAACCTCCATCTCCCGGGTTCAGTTCAAGTGATTATCATGCCTCAGCCTCCCAAGTAGCTGGGATTACAGGCGCACGCCACCATGCCCGGCTAATTTTTGTATTTTTAGTAGAGATGGGGTTTCACCACGTGGACCAAGTTGGTCTGGAACTCCTGACCTCAAGAGATCTGGCCGCCATGGGCTTCCAAAGTGCTGGGATTACAGGGATGAGCCACCGTGCACAGCCTAAATTTTTTTGTGGTGGTTTTTATCTTTTTAATTTTTTTTATTTTTGTTTTTTCTTTTTCTTATTTTTTATTTTTCTTTCTTCTTTGTTTTTCTCTTTCAGTTTTATTTCTTTATTTTAGTGGTTTTTTTTTTTCACAAGTAGGTTTTGTTTTGTTTTGTTTTGTTGAGATTGAGTCTCGCTCTGTTGCCCAGGCTGGAGTGCAGTGGCACGATCTCAGCTCAACTGCAAGCTCCACCTCCCGGGCTCACACCACTCTCCTGCCTCAGCCTCCCAGGTAGCTGGGACTACAGGCGCCACCACGCCCTGCTAATTTTTTGTATTTTTGGTAGAGACGGAGTTTCACCGTGTTAGGCAGGATGGTCTCGATCTCCTGACCTTGTGATCCACCCACCTCGGCCTCCCAAAGTGCTGGGATTACAGGCGTGAGCCACCGCATCCAGCCTCAGAAGTAGGTTTTTAAAGGCAAAAGGAACAAGGAGTGGGCTGATACAAGGTTGTCTGCCAGGACTCCTCACTGGAGGACGGGGAGAACACTGGATGCTGATTGGCTCTACGTTGCTGAGCTATAGCATTTGATGCTAGTGCAGGGCATTTTATGGCTACTTGGCATCAGTGAGTCTAGAGCCCACATAGCAAGTGGCTTCAAGAGGAAATTATTTAGCTCAAGGGGGAGTGAGAGGCAGCTTCTGTCACATTTTAAATGTTTCTCTGGGCCTGATCTTTTAAAAGTACTCACATTCCTCAGATTAAAAGTTTTCTTTTTCTTTCTCAAACCTGAGAAGTGATGGGAAATGATCTCATGCCATCCTCTCAGGAAGGTAGGAGTCGGGTTGAAAACGGTCTTGCAGCGTCTCACAAGCCTCCCATGACTCCATGCTCCCGGAGTATCACAGGCTGATCAAATTAAATCCAGACTCACCTTCCACTGCAATTCAAGCCTGGCCTCTGTGGCCTCTGTGGGTATGAACCAGGTCCCCAGGGCACTATTCCCCTGCACAAACCACTCCACACGTTTCCCGAACTTTTCTCTGGCTGTAATGGGCTGAACTGTGCACCTCCTTCCCCAATTCATATATTGAAATAGTAACCCCTAAAGCCTCAGAATGGGACTATATTTTGAGATAGGGCTTTTAAAGAGATAATTAAGTTAAAATGAGGTCGTAAGGGTGTTCCCTAATCCAATACTAGTGCTGTCCTTATAAGAAGAGGGGATTAGGGCCAGGCACAGGGGCCCACACCTGTAATCCCAGCACTTTGGGAGGCGGACGCTGGTGGATCACTTGAGGTCAGGAATTGGAGACCAGCCTGGCCAACATGGTGAAACCCTATCTGTACTAAAAATACAAAATTAGCCAGGCATGTATGCCTGTAGTCCCAGCTACTCTGGAGGCTGAGGCAGGAGGATCGCTTGAACCTGGGAGGCAGAGGTTGCAGTGAGCCAAGATCACACCACTGCACTCCAGCCTGGGCAACAGAGAGCACTCACAGAGGGACGACCAGGTGAGGACGTAGCAAGAAGGCAGCCCTCTACAAGCCAAGGAGAGAAGCTTCAGAAAAAAAGAACCCTGCTGACATCCTGACACTGGACTTCCAGCCTCCAGAATTATGAGAAAATAAATGTCAGTTGTTTAAGGCACCTATTCGTGGTACTTTGTTATGGGGGCTTCTGCAAATTAATACGCTGACAGACTGGCATTTAACTGCATTTTATTTTGCCTCTCTTATTCCTAGGTCGTTCCATCCTCATGGCACCAAGAGGCACCTCCTCAGCAGCCCAGCACCCAGGCTCCTTCATGCAAAGATGCCCTTCTATGATTGTCTCTGTGCAGCTCCTGCCAGGCCTGTGCATCTGCAGATGCTCTCAGGCCACCCAGGGCCCCAGCAAAGGTTTGGGCAGCCGCAGACAGATCCTCAGGCCTGGCCTAGAGATGTGAATTTTCAGACACCTGTCGCCATCCACAGCTGCTCAGGCTAGTCCCAGAGGACCCCGGGTCTGGGCTTGCAGGTAAAATACAGGATGCCCTGCTGAAGTTCAGTGTCAGATAAGCAAGAAATAATGTTCTAATGTAAGTAAGCCCTAAATGATGTTGCATATATATATATATATATATATATATATATTTTTTTTTTTTTTTTTTTTTTTTTTTGAGACAAAGGCTCACTCTGTTGCCCAGGCTAGAGTTCAGTGGCACCATCTTGACTCACTGCAACCTCTACCTCCTGGGTTCAAGTGATTCTTGTGCCTCGGCCTCCGAATAGCTGAGGCTACAGGCGTTTGCCACCACAACTGGCTACCTTTTGTATTTTGGGTAGAGACGGGGTTTTACCATGTTGGCCAGGCTGATCTTGAATCCCTGGCTTCAAGTGATCTGCCTGCCTTGGCCTCCCAAGTGCTGGGATTACAGGCGTGAGCCATTGCTCCCGGCCAACATACTTAAAAAGTATTTGTTTACCTGAAATTCAAATTTAACTGAGCATCCTGTATTTTTATTTGTTACCCTACTGGGGCCGTGAGGAGAGCCCCTCCTCAATAAGGCACTTCCGGTGGGGTTTTCCTGCACATACCTCGGAAGATCTCCTGGACCAAAAGCTGCCCAGAAGCTGGAGAGCTCGCCACATGCCCTGACTCCAAGCAGCGGCAGACTCTTCTCAGGCCACCCAGTCCTGGATCAGGAACTCTACCTAGCACCAGAGACCCGGAGTCTCCAAAATTGAGAAGAGCTCACCTTATAAAATAAAAAGCTGTGAGAACTTCCATTCCTCCTCCCCAAGATTCTAAAGAAATGACAGCAGATTTGGCCATAGCTCATGGTACCCCAAATCCAGGAAAAAAAAAAAAAGGCAGACTAGTACAACTAAGAACTAAGCTTTGGGTCATACAGACCTGATTCTGAATTAGCAGTATGGCGTTGTGCGAGTACTGGGCCCACTCTAAACCCCACTTGTCCCATCAGAACACGGGATTCCTATTCCTACCTTTCTTATGGTGTCATTATGAGGAGTAAATGAGACAAGGCACGCTGGGCGCGGTGGCTCACGCCTGTAATCCCTGCACTTTGGGAGGCGGAGGCGGGTGGATCACGAGGTCAGGAGATCGAGACCATCCTGGCTAACATGGTGAAACCCCGTCTCTACCAAAAATACAAAAAAAAAAAAATTAGCCGGGCGTGGTGGCGGGCGCCTGTGGTCCCAGCTACTCGGGAGGCTGAGGCAGGAGAATGGCGTGAACCCTGGAGGCGGAGCTTGCAGTGAGCTGAGATCGCGCCACTGCACTCCAGCCTGGGTGACAGAGCCAGACTCTGTCTCAAAGAAACAAACAAACAAAGAAAACGACAAGGCACATAAGGGCTGAAGACCGCGCCTGGCACGAAGCAAGTGCTCCGTCATTGTGGCTGCTGCGGCCGTGGAATGCCCTCCATTTTTGCCCTGCTCACATCTGCTCCAAACACTCCCCAGCCTGTGTGGGTTCTCATACATGAGCCCCATCAGTGCCTTTGCTTCTGAAAGCCTAGAGGTAATGACATGCTCGGCGAGCTCAAACTCCTGGAAACTCTCCCAGGAAAACTCGGGATGCGAAGATGTACTCTAGAAGGGAACAGATGGCTTCTGTTTTTGTGTGTGGTATGGAATGGATGGCAAAAGGTCAGTGAGCTCTGTGGGAGACAGCACGGTGCCAAGGGGACCCGTGTCACCTTCCTCACCTCTGCCTCTGTCTCAGACACCTGCTGACATATGACCAGGTGCAGATGGAGCAGTGCCAGCCACGCCCTGGGATGAGGAGATCAAGCTGGTGCTCAGCCCCAGCAAGGCGGGGTCAGTGACATCCCTATATGTGAATGGGGACACATTTGTAAGCAGAGACATGAAGTGACAGAATGAGATCACCCACAGCGACATCTGCCACTACCCAGGTGACTGGGCCAAAAGTGGGCTGTGGAATTGGAACAAAATACAACAGATTGTATTTAGATATTGACTCCATTCTAATATATAGACTTTGCAAGGTAAACATTTCAAAATTGCTCTTTACTATGAGAACCAAATGTTTTCTCCAGATATTTTGATATAAATTTTTGATGAAATAAATGCATCCTAGGAAAGGCCTTGCTCCCATATTAGGAAAGTAAATTCTATATCCAAGGACACTGGGTAACTACAGCCTTGAATGTTCATGGGCTACAATAACGACGATTATGAGGGAACCAGATTCTCTCTCCTTTACTGTGTTTGGGTAGATCCTTTCATCAGTATGTCAAGGCTACTGAAATGTTAGTGTAATCTTGATGTCAGACAGGGGACAGGGTCTTTGCTTGGAAGCCTCCCAAATCCAGGGCCTGTGGAAAGCCAAAGCATTCCCTCTGAGATTTCGGCGAATCTTTTGTCTCCTAATTCCCCTTTCTTTTTTCTTTTTCTAGTTTTTTGTTTTTTTTTTTTTTAGGCGGAGTTTCGCTCTTGTTGCCCAGGCTGGAGTGCAATGGCTCAATCTCGGCTCACCACAACCTCCGCCTCCCAGGTTCAAATGATTCTCCTGCCTCAGCCTCCCAGGTAGCTGGGATTGCAGGCATGCACCACCATGCCCGGCTAAGTTTGTATTTTTAGTAGAGACGGGGTTTCACCATGTTGGTCAGGCTGGTCTCCAACTCCCGACCTCAGGTGATCCTCCTGCCTCTGCCTCCCAAAGTGCTGGGATTACAGGCATGAGCCACCACCCCTAGCCTCTTTTTACTTTTGTTTTGTTTTGTTTTGTTTTGAGATGGAGTCTCACTCTGTCACCCAGGCTGGAGAGCAAGGGGCAATCTTGGCTCACTGCAATCTCCACCTCCCAAGTTCAAGCGATCCTCCTGCCTCAGCCTCTTGAGTAGCTGAGATTATAGGCACGCCACCACAACTGGCTAATTTTTTTGTATATTTACTAGAGATGAGGTTTCACCATGTTCGAGGCTAGGCTGGCCTCGAACACCTGACCTCAAATGATCCCCCGCCTCAGCCTCCCAAAGTACTGGGTTTACAGGCATGAGCCACCGCGCCTGGCCCTAATTCTCCTTTCTATGTGATCTCTCCACCCCCTCTCTGACTTTCACAGAACCCTCTCCCACAGCAAGCATGAAACATTTTGAAATTCATAGGCTGTCATCAAGATTTTGGAGGGAGTAGCCGGGCAGTGGCTGGCTCATGCCTATAATCCCAACATTTTGAGAGGCCAAGGCAAGAGGATCACTTGAGCCTAGGAGTTTGAGGCCAGCCTGGGCAACATAGCAGGACCCTGTCTCTATTTAAAAAAAAAGGATTTTGGAAGTGGGAATGGATAAGGGGCTCACACCACAAAAATGTAAACAATTTCCCAAAGAACAACAAACATCATGGTTCCCAAGGTATTCTCTACCTCTGTGGAGCCGTGGAGGCCAAGCTCTAGCCTCTCTCACTCTTCCTATCTCCATTTTTTTTTTTTTGAGACCGAGTCTCCCTCTGTTGCCCAGGCTGGAGTGCAATGGCATGGTCTCAGCTCACTGCAACCTCCACCTCCTGAGTTCAAGCGAGTCTCCTGCCTCAGCCTCATGAGTAGCAGGGATTTCAGGGGCCTGCCACCATGCCTGGCTAATTTTTGTATTTTTAATAGAGATGGGGTTTCACCATGTTGGCCACGCTGGTCTCGAACTGCTGACCTTGTGATCTGACTGCCTCAGCCTCCCAAAGTGCTGGGATTACAGGCGTGAGCCATTGCTCCTGGCCTCCTCTCTCCATTTTTTTTAAGAGATGAGGTCATGCTCTGTCACCCATGCTGGAGTGCAGTGGTGCAATCATAGCTCACTGCAGCCTCTAACTCCTGGGCTCAAGTGATCCTCCTGCCTCAGCCTCCCAAGTAGCTAGGACTACAGGTGCATACCACCACACCTGGCTAATTTTTTTTTTTTTTTTTTGAGACAGGGTCTCACTCTGTCACCCAGGCTGGAGTGCAACGGCGCAGTCTTGGCTCACTACAACTTCTGCCTCCCAGGTTCAAGCGATTCTCCTGCCTCAGCCTCCCAAGTAGCTGGGACTACAGGCACACACCACCACGCCCGGCTAATTTTTGTATTTTTAGTAGAGATGGGGTTTCACCATGTTGGCCAGGCTAGTCTCAAACTCCTGACCTTGTGATCTGCCCACCTCGGCCTCCCAAAGTGCTGGGATTACAGGCATGAGCTACCGTGCCCGGCCAATGTTTTTATTTTTTATTTTTTGTAGAGCAGGGGTCTCACTGTGTTGCCCAGGCTGGTTTATTTTTTATGTTTTGTAGAAACAGGGCTCACTATGTTGCCCAGGCTGGTCTCAAACTCCTGGGCTCAAGTGATCCTCCTGCCTCAGGCTCCCAAAGCATTGGGATTGAAGGCGTGAGCCACTGCAACTGGCCACCAGCTTCTTTTAATCCTGCTACTTCTCTTTTCTCCTCTTTTCAGGAAGAAAAATAAAATTAGTCCTTTTCCCTTGTTCATGGCAAAGGAGTTTCTCCTTTCTACTGATTTTTTTTTTTGACACTTGTAGGCTGACTTCAGGATTTTACCTCCCTGAAGCATGCTTGGTATTTTCCTAGAGATACATATTTCTACCTAAGAAGGATTCTTTTGCACCTCCTTACGTTAAGGATGTTTCTATTGTTATAACGTAGACCTTTGCAGGATTACCTCCCAGTAAGATCACAGGTGGTGGGTGGATGAATGAGGAAGGGGGAGAAATATTCTTGAGTCAGCATCGTTTGAACTAACACTACCACAACCACCATCATCACTTCCATTCATTAACTCTTGCTGGTGTTTTTTTGTTTGTTTGTTTTGCTTTGCTTTGTTTGGAGACGGAGTCTCACTCTGTCGCCCAGGCTGCAGTGCAGTGGCGTGATCTCGGCTCACTGCAACCTCCGCCTCCCGGGTTCAAGCGATTCCCCTGCCACAGCCTCCGGAGTAGTGGGGACTACAGGCGCCCGCCACCAGGCCTTGCTAATTTTTTGTATTTTAGCAGAGATGGGGTTTCACCATGTTGGCCAGGATGGTCTTAATCTCCTGACCTCATGATCCACCCACCTTTGCCTCCCAAAGTGCTAGGATTATAGGCGTGAGCCATCACGCCCGGCCAACTCTTGCTGTTTTAAGTAATGTAAGGGCATTGCATATAGGATCTCATTTCAGCCTCACAACAGGCCTATGAGATAGGTAGAAAGAGACTCCCATTTCACAAGTGAGGACACTAAACAACAAATTGCCACTGAATGCTCTGCGGCTGAGCAGAGATGACAGGCTAGCTAGGAAAGGCTTGTGGATAGAACCCTGCCTTGTGGATCAGCTGGGAATTTGACTTGCCCTCCCGGATGGACAACTAGAAACTACCAGGCAGGGGTAGAGGGAGGTCTGGAAGATTTCAATCAGGCACAGATATGGGTTTTTTTGTTTGTTTGTTTGTCTTTTTGTGTATTTATTTTATTTTATTTTATTTTTATTTATTTATTTTTGAGACGGCGTCTCACTGTGTCACCCAGGCTGGAGTGCAGTGGCGCCATCTCAGCTCACTGCAACCTCCGCCTCCTGCGTTCAAGTGATTCTCCTGCCTCGGCCTCCTGAGTAGCTGGGACTATAGGCGTCCACCACTACCCCCAGCTAATTTTTTGTATTTTTAGTAGAGATGGGCTTTCACCATGTTGGGCAGGCTGGTCTCAAACTGCTGACCTCGTGATTCGCCTGCCTCGGCCTCCCAAAGTGCTGGGATTACAGGCGTGAGCCACCACACCCGGCCAGATATGGGATTTTTATGAGAGAAGGCTTTGCTACTGTTCTTACGGAAGGATTAGATGCATAATTAGATGCTGTCTTGTGTTGGGAAATAGGAAGGCCCCAGCGATGTGGAGACAGGGCGCTGGAAAGGAAGGGCCCAGACGAAGCTGCACCAGGTTCCTGGGAATAGAAAATAGTTCCCTTAAACCAGGGATGCAAAGGGACCGGCTCTGTTTGCTTGTTAATCACATTAGCTATTGTAGATCATGAACCTCCAGCTCGTAAACATAGCGTTGTATACTCTGAGTTCTTTCTGTGGCTTATTCCATGTTTTTGCTGCCTTTGTAATCCTCTTAGATGATGGCAGCCTACTTCCTTTGTGATTAAGAAGATATACAAAGGGATTTTTTTATAGTCACTGGGACAGTTTTTTCTTTCTTTCTTTTTTTTTTTTTGAGACAGAGTCTTGCTCTGTCTCCCAGGCTGGAGTGCAGTGGCACAATCTCGGCTCACTGCAACCTCCACCTCCCAGTTTCAAGGGATTCTCCTGCCTCGGCCTCCTGAGTAGCTGGGATTATAAGTGTCTACCACCACGCCTGGCTAATTTTGTATCTTTAGTAGAGACAGGGTTTCACCATATTGATGAGGCTGGGCCTTGAACTCCTGATCCGTGGTGATCTGCCTGCTTTGGCCTCCCAAAATGCTGGGATTACAGGCGTGAGCCACTGTGCCCGGCCATCTTTTTAACATTATAATTATTTTGAAAATTTCAATAGTTTTGGGGGTACAGGTGGTTTTTGGGGTACATGGACGAGTTCTACAGTGTGAATTCTGAGATGCTGGTGCATCTGCACCTGAGCAGTGTACCCTGAACCCAATATGTATTCTCTTATCCCTCATCCCCCTCCTCACCTCCCACTTCCCCAAGTCCCCAAAGTTCCTTACAGGGACAAAGTTTTAAAGGCAAACTACAGCTTGCATCCAGATAAGGTAATGGGAGAGCAAATCTAGAGAGAGTTTCTGAAAGAAAGAGAATTCAGAGGGGAGGAGGCTGGGAAGACACAGCCACCCTCCACTGCCTCTGCCCTTTGCCCTGAGTTCTCCTCCTAGAACTTTGAGGTCATAACAACCAATACAACAAGTGGGCTCTGTAAGCTTCCTGATTTAGATAAATTGGCTGTGAAATGGGAAGTCTGAATACGGACTTGGTATTAGATGCCACTGTCTTAGGGTTCTCTAGAGGGACAGAACTATTAGGATATATATATATATACACACACACACACACCATATATAAATATATAAATATATATACACCATATATAAATATATATACACCATATATAAATATATATAAAAATATATATATACATATATATATATAAATAAAGGGGAGCTTATTAAGTACTAACTCACGTGATCACAAGGTCCCACCATAGGCCGTCTGCAGGCTGAGGAGCAAGGAAGCCAGTCTGAGTCACCAAACTGAAGAACTTGGAGTCTGATGTTCAAGGGCAGGAAGCATCCAGCCTGGGAGAAAGATGTCCGCTGCGAGTCTAGGCCAGTCTAGTCCAAGGACAGCTGTGAAGCTCTTGGTTGGTATAGCTGTGACTACGGCACAGCAAACCAGGCGGCGGTGCAGCCCACGCAACCCCGAGGCCATTGGTGCCTTTTGTGGACGGCTAGGCCAGAGCCTTTTCTGTCGAAGTCAAGTGCAGAGTTCGGGCAATGCACCGTGTGAGTGTGTCAGCAATCTCCAAGTTCTCGAGGTGTGCACTGAAGAGGTCCTCCCACCCTGAGGTTGTTGGGCAGAAAATGCAGGTGATTCAAATAAACTGGGGCTGAGCCCTCAATGGCTAGGATAAGTGATATGCTCCAGTCTCTGCTTTGTTCAAAAGGGACTTGGGCCAAAGGCTGCATTTATCTTGGCAAATGTTTTATTTAAGAAAGCCCAACACATTTATTTCAGTCAACACATTCCTTATTGAACACTCAACAGTCAACACAGCCTCAGAAAAAAATATGAGTAAGTAATTAATGTTGTATCTGAAAGGAAAGAAAAGCTTCAATCTCTGTGGTTTCGATAACAGCTGCTAAAATGTCAGAACCAGGTTTTCAGAACTTTCCCACCAGTGGAGATGGGGCTAGATGGTGGATTTTGGAAGAGGCAGCCTAGTCATGGCTTTCTTTTGCAGCTCGGCATCTGTTCATCCCCTCAGAACTGCCCCAGGCCTTCAGCCTCCCTATTAAATGACCCCCCTCCTCTCAGGCCAGAGGATAGAATCCAAACTGAGTCAGAGAAATTCTGTCCCCAGGGCCAGGCTTGGTAGCTTCTGCCTGTAATCCCAGCACTTTGGGAGGTCGAGATGGGAGGATTGCTTGAGGCCAGGAGTTTGAGACCAGCCTGGGCAACATCGTGAGACCCTGTCTCTATTTTTTTAAAAAAAAGATTTAAAAAAAAAGAAAAAATCTGTCACCCAGGAGCTTGTAATTGGGACAGAGATTCTGGCTAGGTAGGTGTGGTTGCAGGAGCTGGAAAGTGATGTTGATTCAGGGGTGAAGAAACCATCATACCCACTGTTGTACACGCCACTGTACCCAAGCTTTAGGGATGTGGAGCATTACGTTATATGTAAGATGCAGGGTGTCTGTCCCTTCAATACACTCAAACTCTTTCAAGCAAGAAATATGACATATTCATTTTATTGAATACAACAGACTACGATTTTTTTTGGTTTTTTGGGTTTTTTTTGAGACAAGATCTCATTCTGTCTCCTAGGCTGGAGCGCAGTGGCATAATCATAGCTCACTGAAATCTCTAACTCCTGGGCTCATGCAGTCCTTCCACCTCAGCTGCCCAAGTAGCTGGGACTACAGGTGCATACTACTATGCCCTGCTAATTAAAAAAAAAAAAAATTGTTTTTTGTAGAGACGAGGTCTCACTATGTTGCCCAGGCTGGTCTGGAACTCCTGGGCTCAAGTGGTCCTCCCACCTCAGCCCTGCAGAGTGCTTGGGGTTACAGGCGTGAGCCACTATGCCCTGCTGAGACTAAGATTTTTCAGCTCACATGTGAACCAGTTTCTCAAGGTCATTTAGGAACTCACCAGAAAATCCAACTGGAACTTGGATTTCTCCAATCCAAAGTGGCTTATACCCTATGAATGAGAACCACTTCCTCCCTTGGAGTGCCACAAATACATCACTTCAGTCACCAGATAATGTGAATTTAAATGTCCGACGGTGCTAAATGCTAAGCAGTATTGTAACCTGAACCATCTAGAGGCTTATCAAAACAGCCGGCATTGGGCAGAGAATTGCCAGCCCTGAAATCACTGTACGCAGCAGACCTTTAGAATTATGTATATTTTAGGTGATGAATGTTATCTTCAGCTCTATTTTTAGCTTCCCCAGCCTACAAAAGCATTTGCAAGAACAGAGAAAATCTCTGTGACAAAATCTATTAAGTGTGAATTGCTCACCTGGTATCTCAGAGACAGAAACAGTACAAGTTCTCAGGTTGCACTTTTAAAAAAAATTCTGGAAAGTAACGCAAATAGATTTTAAAATTTTTACCTCTTCATAGAATACTTAACACCCTTTGTAATTAGAACATTCCTTAAGGTCTGCAAATTAAATCATTAGCACTGCGTCTTTTCAGGAGTGAAGCTGCTGAGAAGCTGAAAAAATAAGATTTCGTTTTCCTTGACATCCAGATTTTAAAACTACCGTAAGAATTGTTTCCACAACAAAGTATGGGGTTGGTGTCTGGAATTTCTGTAAGGAATGCACAGCATTCGCATTTCCATGTGACGTGACGGCATCCATCTCACAGCCGGGCACTTCACCTGAGACTTTAAGGAAATGCAACATGGCCCAGGCTGAATTTGTTGTCTTCCACTCCAGCAACATTGACACAGATAATCCATCCACAGAAGTCAACCACTGAGAGGTCAGGATTCAGGGAAATAAACTGCAATTAGAAGGTTCCCTGAGGGCCAGGCATGGTGGCTCACACCTGTAATCCCAGCACTTTGGGAGGCCAAGGCGGGTGGTTCACTCAGGTCAGGAGTTCAAGACCAGCCTGGCCAACATGGTGAAACCACATCTCTACTAAAAATACAAAAAATTAACCAGGACTGGAGGTGGGGCCTGTAATCCCAGCTACTCAGGAGGCTGAGGCAGGAGAATCGCTCAAACCCAGAAGGCGGAGGTTGCGGTGAGCCAAGATTGCGCCACCGCACTCCAGCCTGGGCAACAAGAGTGAGAAACTCCTGAGATGCAGGCTGGGCGCGGTGGCTCACACCTGAAATCCCAGCACTTTGGGAAGCAAGGCGGGCCAATCACTTCAGGTCAGGAGTTTGAGACCAGCCTGGCCAACAAGGTGAAACCTCATCTCTACTAAAAATACAAAATTAGCCAGGCATGGTGGCACCTGTAATCCCAGCTACTCGGGAGGATGAGGCAGGAGAATCGCCTGAACCTGGGAGGCAGAGGCTGCTGTGAGCTGAGATCATGCCACTGCACTCCAGCCTGGACAAGAGCGGAACTCAGTCTCAAAAAAAAGGTAACCTGAGAAGCAAAAGGAACTGGGGGGTCCTGTAGGACATTTGCCCCTGACTGGTATAGGGCCTAAGAAATGTGCCCCGTCCACCGTCCACCATGGTGCACCTTCCAGAGCCCCGGGCTGCCTCCCAGACCCTCAGGTGCCCATGTGCGCTGCTCTCAGAGAGTGGCTTCACATTGCATCTCGAGGATTTCTTTCCACATAGCTTATGAAGAGGGCCAGTCTCCGGAGCATAGGTGAGGACACACTCCACAAGGTGTTCCAATTTGCCAGATGTCGATTGTTACCGTTACATCTGACCCTGGGGCTGGTCTCAGGGGGCTAACTAGGGAAGCCAGGGCCCTGGTGAGGCCACAAGCCACACCCATCCAACCAGCCTCCATGTCAGGGCATGCCACGGGTCACAGTGGGCATCCGGCAGAGAAACTGGTTCCAGCAGTGGCTCAGAGGGGGCGTCCCCACGCCACAGAAGCAGCAGCGGAGGGCCTGTTTTCACACCCAGGCTCTGACAGTTGCCAGGGGGATGTTTCTTCCCTTACTGATTCGCAGTGTCTTCATTTGTAAAACAAAGATGGTTATATCAACTTCAAGGAGTGAGAATTAAATGGGAGGTATGAAAGTACTCTGTGAAGTGCAATGAGAAGTGAGATATTATTATGAGTTCCTGAGGAAACTGAGGCTCATCATAATGTACTAGCACCCAGCACATAGCCCTACATAAAGGAAGGGCTTAATAAATATTGGAGAAAAGGGAGGATTATTATGATTATTTCCTTTTTTTTCTTTTTCTTTTCTTTTTTTTTTTTTTTTTTGAGATGGAGTTTTGCTCTTATTGCCCAGGCTGGAGTGCAGTGGTGCGATCTCAGCTCACTGCAACCTCCACCCCCCAGGTTCAAGTGATTCTCCTGCCTCAGCCTCCCGAGCAGCTGGGACTACAGGCATGTGCCACCATGTCCAGCTAATTTTTGTATTTTTTTTTTTTTTTAGTAGAGACGGGGTTTCACCACATTGGCCAGGCTAGTCTCGAACTCCTGACCTCAGGTGAGCCACCCGCCTCGGCCTCCCAGAGTGCCAGGATTACAGGGGTGAGCCACTGCGCCCGGCCGTATTATGATTATTTCTAAGTGTGCTGATCCCCCGTCCCGCCACCCCGCAGCGGCAGACCACGATGTGCAGGGGAGGAAAGAGGGTGCTCCCTGCTGGGAGCTGGAAATTCCTGGGGGTGGTCTTTTGAGGAATGTAGGAGCAAGGAGATCATGGTCAGCCTTCTACAGGCATCGGATGCTTTTTTTCCTTAAAAAAAAAAAAAAAGTAACAATCGGATCGGGCTTTAGTTTCCAGGCAACCGTGTTGCATGAGTCCCACGTGGTGGCAGGTCTTCCATGCATGAGCCATATTTACGGTGAACGGCGGCAACTCCATGCCCAGGAACAGGGCTCAGACCCGCACTGAGACTTTAGCGGGTTTCTTAACCTTTTCTGTGCCACGGACCCCTTTGCCAGTCTGGTGAAGTTTATGAACCTCTTCTAAGAATAATGTTTCTAGACACATTAAAAGTAAAATGTATAGAATTATAAAGGAAACAAATCATATCAAATATTTTATTTTTATTATTCTGTTTTTATTTTTTGAGACAGGGTCTTGCTCTGTCACCCAGGCTGGAAGATAGCGGCACAAGCCTAGCGTACCGTAACCTCAAATTCTTGGGCTCAAAGAATCCTCCTGCCTCAGCCCCTTGAGTAGGTAACACTGCAGGTGTCCAACGCCATGCCTGGCTAATTTTTTATTTTCATTTTTAATTAAAAAAATTTTTTGTGGGCACATAGTATGTGTATATATTTATGGAATGCATGAGATATTTTGGGACAGGCATGCAATGCATAATAATTACATCGGGGTAAATGGGGTATCCCTTTGTGTTAAAAACAATCTAATTATACCCTCCCTTCCTTCCTTCCTTCCTCTCTCTCTCTCTCTCTTTCTTTCTCTCTTGAGACAGTCTCACTCTGTCACCCAGGCTGGAGTGCAGTGGCATGATCTCAGTTCACTGCAACCTCCACCTCCTGGGTTCAAGTAATTCTCATGCCTCAGCCTCCCAAATAGCTGGGATTACAGGTGCATGCCACCATAACTGGCTAATTTTTATATTTTTAGTAGAGATGGGGTTTCACCATGTTGGCCAGGCTGGTCTCAAACTCTTGGCCTCAAGTGATCCACCTGCCTCAGCCTCCCAAAGTGCTGGGATTAGATACCCTTTTAGTTATTTTTAAATGTACAATTAAATTATTGTTGACTATAGTCACCCTGTTGTGCTATCAAATACTAGATCTTATTCATTCTTTCTATTTTTTTGTACCCATTAACCATCCCCACCTTTCCACCAGCACCCCCAGTACCTTTCCCAGCCTCTGGTAACCATCCTTCTACCCTCTATCTCCATGAATTCAATTGTTTTAATTTTTATCTCTCAGAAATGACTGAGAATAAGTGAAGTTTGTCTTTCTGTCCCTGTCTTGTTTCACTGAACATAATTACCTCCAGCTCCATCCATGTTGTTGCAAATGACAGGATCTCATTCTTTTTCATGGCTGAATAATACTCCATTGAGTATATGTACCACATTTTCTTTATCCATTCATCTGTTGATGGACACTTTGGTTGCTTCTAAATCTTGGCAATTGTGAATAGTGCTGCAACAAACATGGGAGTGGGTATTTCTTCGATATACTGAATTCCTTTCTTTTTTACACTCTTGTATACACTCTTGCCAACACTTGTATGGCAGCTCTATTTTGGTTTTTTGAGGAACCTCCAAACCATTCTCCATAGTGGTTGTACTAATTTACGTTCCCACCAATAGTGTTTAAGGGTTCCCTTTTCTCCACATGCTTGCCAGCATGTGTTATTGCCTATCTTTTGGATAAACGCCACTTTAACTGGGGTGAGATATCTTATTGTAGTTCTAACTTGGATTTCTCTGAAGAACAATGGTGTTGAGCACCTTTTCATATGCCTGTTTGCCATTTGTATGTCTTTTGAGAAATGTCTATTCAGATCTTTTACCCATTTTCAAAATTGGATCACTAGATATTTTCCTATGAGGTTTTTTGTTTGTTTGTTTTGGGGGGGTTGTTTCATTTTGTTTGGTTTCAAGGCAAGATCTCTCTGTCACCCAGACTGGAGTGCAGTGGTACAATCTCTGCTCACTGCAACCTCCGCCTCCCATGCTCAAGCAATCCTCCCACCTCAGCCTCCTGAGTAGCTGGGACTACAGGTACATGACCATGCCTTGCTAATTTTTGTATTTTTTGTAGAGATGGGATTTTGTCATGCTGCTCAGACTGGTCTCAACCTCCTCGACTCAAGCCATCCACCCACCTCAGCCTCCCAAAGTGCTGAGATTACAAGTATGAGCCACCACACCCAGCCTTTCCTACAGGGTTGTTTGAGCTCGTTATATATTCTGGTTATTATTTTTATTATTATTATTATTATTTGAGATGGAGTCTTGCTCTGTTGCCCAGGCTGGAGTGCAGTGGCACGATCTCCGCTCACTGCAACCTCCACCTCCTAGGTTCAAGTGATTCTCCTGCCTCAGCCTCCTGAGTAATTGGGACTACGGGCGCCCACTACCACTCCGAGCTAATTTTTGCTGTTATTAATCCCTTGTTAGATGGAAAATCTGCAAACATTTTTCTCCCATTTGGTGGATTGTCTCTTCACTTTGTTGACTGTTTTCTTTGCCCAGTTCAATGTCCTAGAGAGTTTCCCCATTGTTTTCTTGCAGCGGTTTCATAGTTTGAGGTCTAAAATGTAAATATTTAATCCATTTTGTTTCTTTTTCTTTTAGAAACAGAGTATCGCTCTGTCACCCAGGCTGGAGTGCAGTGGCGCAATCTTGGCTCACTGCATCCTCCACTTCCTGGGCCCAAGTGATCCTCCTGCCTCAGCCTCCTAAGTAGCTGGGACTACAGGTGCATGCTACCACACCTGGCTAATTTTTAAAAATGTGTTATTGAATTCAGTTTGCTAGTATTTTTTTTGAGGGGGGTGCTGCAGAGTCTTGCTCTGTCACCCAGGCTGGAGTGCAGTGGTGCAATCTCAGATCTCGGCTCACTGCAGCCTCTGCCTCCCGGGTTCAAGCGATTCTCCTGTCTCAGCCTCCTGAGTAGCTGGGATTACAGTCGTGTACCATCACACCCAGCTAATTTTTGTATTTTTAGTAGAGACAGGGTTTCACCATGTTGAGCAGGCTAGTCTTGAACTCCTGACCTCAGGTGATCTGCCCTCCTCAGCCTGTCAAAGTGCTGGGATTACAGGCGTGAGTCACTGCACCCGGTCTTGCTAGTACTTTGATGAGGATTCTTGCATCAGTCTTCATCAGGGATACTGGCCTGTAGTTTTCTTTTCTTTACTTTTTTTGTTTGTTTGTTTGTTTGTTTGTTTTTGGCAGCAGGATAATACTAGCCTCATAGAATGAGTTTGGAAGTATTCTCTAATTTTCAGAATAGTTTGAGTAGGATTGGTAATATTTTTCCTTAAATGTTTGGTAGAATTCAGCAGTGAAGCTATCAGGTCCCAGGCTTTTCTTTGCTGGGAGACTTTTTATTGCGGCTTTAGTCTTATTACTGGTTTTTGTTCTGTTCAGGTTTTGAATTTCTTCATGGTTCAATCTTGGTGTGTCTGGAATGTATCCACTTCTTCTAGATTTTCCAATTTATTGACACATAGTTGCTCATAGTAGCCTCTAATGATCCTTTGAATTTCTGTGGTATCAGTTGTAACGTCTCCTTTTTAATCTCTGATTTCATTTATTTGTATCTTCTCTCTTTTTTCTTAGTCTGGCTAAAGTTGGTTATTTTTGTTTATCTTGTTAAAAAAACAAACTTTTCATTTCATGGATCTTTTGTATTGTTTTCTTCATTTCAATTTTATTTATTTCTGTTGTTTTGTTTTGAGATAGTCTCACGTTGTTGCCCAGGATGGAGTGTATTGACACACTCACAGCTCACTGCAGCCTCAACCTCCCAGACTCAAGTCATCCTCCCATCTCAGCCCCTCAATTATCTGGGACTACAGACATGTGCCACCATGCTCGGCTTAGTTTAAAAAATTTTTTTTGTATAAACAGGGTCTCAGTATGTTGCCCTGGCTGGTCTGGAGTTCCTGGGCTCAAGCCATCCTTCTGCCTCTGCCTCCCAAACTGCTGGGATTATAGGCATGAGCCCCTGCACCTTGCCTACTGTGATCTTTATAATATTTTTTCTTCTACTAATTTTGAGTTTGGTTTGCTTTTGCTTTTTTGATTTTTTAAGATGCATCTTTAGGTTGTTCATTCCAAGTTTTTCCTCGTTTTTATATAGGCACTTATAGCTATAAACTTCCCTGTTAGTACTGTTTTTGCTGTATCCATGGGTTTTGGTATGTTGTGTTTCGACTATCATTTGTTTCAATAAATGTTTCGATTCCCTTCTTAATTTCTTCATTGGCCCACTGGTCCTTCAGGACCATACTGTTTAATTTCCATATGTTTGTATAGTGTCTAAAATTCCTCCTGTCGTTGACTTCTAGTTTTACTTCATTGTGGTCAGAGAAAATACTTGATATTCTTTCAATTCTTTCATTTTTTTTTTTTTTTTGTGACAGAGTCTCACTCTGTCATGAGGCTGGAGTGCAGTAGTGCGATCTCAGCTCACTGCAACTTCTGCCCCCTGGTTCAAGTGATTTTCCTGCCTCAGCCTCCCGAGTAGCTAGGACTACGCGTGCCACCATGCCCGGCTAATTTTTGTATTTTTTAGTAGAGACAGGGTTTCACCATGTTGTCCAGGATGGTCTCCATCTCTTGACCTCGTGTTCTGCCCACCT
The DNA here is from genome assembly GCF_000001405.40 of Homo sapiens. NCBI lineage: Eukaryota > Metazoa > Chordata > Mammalia > Primates > Hominidae > Homo > Homo sapiens. The sequence goes on from NC_000001.11 coordinate 244,766,081, forward strand.
CGGCCTCCCAAAGTACTGGGATTATATTTTATTTCTTCTTCACGTTTGAAGGATATTTTCATCAAATATACTATTCTAGGATAAAACTCTTTTATCCTTCAGCACTTTATTTTTATTTTTTATTTTTTGAGACAGAGTTTCACTCCTGTTGCCCAGGCTGGAGTGCAATGGCTTGATCTCAACTCATTGCAACCTCCATCTCCCAGGTTCAAGCAATTCTCCTGCCTCAGCCTTCCAAGTAGCTGGGATTACAGGCGTATGCCACCACGCCTGGATAATTTTGTATTTTTAGTAGAGATGGGATTTCTCCATGTTGGTCAGGCTGGTCTCTAACTCCTGACCTCAGGTGATCCGCACCCCCCAGCCTCCCAAGTGCTGGGATTACAGGCGTGAGCCACTGCATCCAGCCTATTCAGCACTTTAAATATATCATGCCACTCTCTCCTGGCCTGTAAGGTTTCCACTAAAAAGTCTGCTGCCAGATGTATTGGAGCTCCATTGTATGTTATTTGTTTCTTTTCTCTTGCTGCTTTTAGGATCCTTTCTTTTTCCTTGACCTTTGGGAGTTTGATGATTCAATGCCTTGAGGTCGTCTTCTTTGGTGTTCTATAACCTTCTTGTACTTGGATATCAATATCTTTCTCTAGGTTTAGGAAGTTCTCTGTTTTTATCCCTTTGAATTAACTTTCTACCCCATCTCTCTCTCTCTGCCTCCTCTTTAAGGCCAATAAGTCTTAGACTTGTCCTTTCAGAGGTATTTTCTAGGTCCTTTTAAGTGTGCTTCATTGTTTTTCAGTCTTTTTTTCTTTTGTTTCCTCTGTCTGTATATTTTCAAATAGCCTGTGTTCGAGCTCACTAATCCTTTCTTCTGCTTGATTAATTCTGCTATTAAAGGACTCTAATGCATTCTTTAGTTTGCCAGTTGCATTTTTCCGGTCCGGAATCTCTGCTTGATTCTTTTTAATTATTTCAATTCTTTGTTAAATTTATCTGATAGAATTCTGAATCCCTTCTCTGTGTTCTCTTGAATTTCTTTGAGTTTCCTCAAAACAGCTGTTTTGAATTCTGTGTCCAAAAAGTCAAATATCTCTGCTTCTTCAGGATGGGTCTCTGGTTCCTTATGTAGCTCATTTGGTGAGGGCATGTTTTCCTGCAGGGTCGTGATGCCTGTGGATGTTCATTGGTATCTGGGCATTGAAGAGTTAGTATTTATTATAATCTTCACTGTCTGGGCTTGTTTGTACCTGTCCTTCTTAGGAAGGCTTTGTGCATATCAGATGGGACTTGAGTGTTGTGATCTAAGCTTTTGGTCACTACAGCCATATCTGCCTTAGGGGCCCCCCAAGCCCAGTAACACTGTGGTTACTCTTAGAGGTAACCACAGACTCTTAGAGGTACTGCCTTGGTGGTACTGAATATAAGATCTGGAAGAATTATCTAGATTACCATGCAGAGACTCTTGTTCTCTTTCCTTACCTTTCTCCCAAACAAACAGAGTCTCTCTCTGTGCTGAGCTGCCTGGAGCTGGGGAAGTGGTGACACAAGCACCCCTGTGGCCACCACTACTGTGACTGCACCAGGTCAGACCTGAAGCCAGCGCAGCTCTGGGTCCCACCCGTGGCCTGCTATAACCACCGCCTGGCTACGACCTGTGTTTGCTCAAGGCCCTAAGGCTCTACAGTCAGTGGGTGGTGAAGCCAGGCTTGTGCTCTTCCCTTCAGAGCGGCAAGTTCCCCCAGGTGCTAGGTGGGTCCAGAGATGCTATCTGGGAGCCAGGACCTGGAGTCAGAAACTTTAGGAACCTACCTGGTGTTCTATCCTATTGTAGCTGTGCTGGCACTCGAACTACAAGACAAAGTCCTTCCCAGTCTTCTCTCCCCTCTCCACAGGCAGAGGATTCTCTCCTCATGGCCACCACCACCGTGGACCCAGGGGGAGTACAGCCTGGCTACCACCAATGCTCACTTAAAGCCTAGGGCTCTTCAGTCAGCTGGTAGTGAATGCTGCCAGGCCTAGGACTCATCCTTCATGGAAGTGGGCTCCCCTCTGGCCTAGGGTAGATCCAGCAATGCCATCCAAATGCCAAGGCCTAGAATTAGGGGCCCCAAGAGCCCACTTGGTGCTACACCCCACTGTGGCTGAGATTATACCTAGGCTGAGTTCTGCCTGGTTTTGACAAAGTCCCCTTTACCCTTCCCTCTCCTTTTCTCAAGCAAAAGTAGTCCCTCTTTATAGCCACCACAGTTAGAAATGTGCTGGGTCATGCCTGAAGCCAGCACGTCTCAGAATCTCACCCAAGGCCCATGACATACTCCCTGGGTATTGCTGCTGATTATTCAGGGTCTAAGGGCTCCTTAGTCAGCAGGTGATGCATTCTGCCAGGACTGTGTCCTTCCCATCAAGGCAGCAGTTTCCCTTCTGGCCCAGGGTATGTCTAGAAATGTAGTCCAGGAGCTAGGGCCTGGAATGGAGGCCTCATGACTCTACCTTGTGCCCTGTGCTACTGTGGCTGAGCTGGTTTCCAAGTTCCCTCTCCTCTCCTCAAGCAGGAGGAAGAAGTCTCTTTCAGAGCTGTGAACTGTGCTGCCTGAGGTCGGGGGATAAGTGGCACAAGCTCTCCCTTAGCTGCCCAGGCTTGTGTCTCTGTAGGCCATGTGCCCCCAAGTCCACTGGTTCCAAGCCCAGCACAGCACTAGGACTTGCCTAGGAGTTGTAGTCCTTGTGGCCTAGACTGCCTTTCACATTTATTTAGGATCCTAGAGCACTTTAGCCCATGGTGGCGAGATTTGCCAAAAGTCGGCTTTCCACCATTGGGATGGGCAAGTCCCCTGTGGCTAGGGCTGATCTAAATGCTGCCTCCGTTGCTGGCTGAGTTGTGCCTGATTTTACTTTGTGTTGTGATGGGGCAGCACTGAGTTCCAATGCAAAGTCCCCCAGTCACTGCGCTCTCCCTCCCCCAAGCACACAGGTTCTCTTTTTGTGCCTCACGGCCACTGTTAGGAGATTGGGGAGGGGTGGAGTCAGCAGTTCAAGACTATCTTTCCTACCCTCTTCAGTATCTCCTTCAGCAATGTGAAGTTAAAACCAGGTACTGTGATTGCTCACCTTATTTTTGATTCTTATGAAGGGGTGTGTGTGTGTGTGTGTGTGTGTGTGTGTGTGTGTGTGTGTGTGTAGATAGTTGTCAAATTTGACGTTCCTGTGGGGAGGACAATTGGGAGGCTTCTATTCAGCCGTCTTGCTCTGCCTCCTTCCCGTTTTCTTTCCTCCTTTCTTTTCCTTCCTTCCTTCCTTCTTTTTTTTTTCTTTTTTTGAGACAGGGTCTCACTCTTGTCCAGGCTGGAGTGCAGTGGTGCAATCATCGCTTCAGCAGTCCTTCCACCTCAGCCTCCCAAGTAGCTAGGATTACAGGCATGTGCCATCACACCCAGCTAATCTTTTCAGTTCTTGTAGAAATGGGATCTCACTGTGTTGTTCAGTCTGGTCTCAAACTCCTGGCCTCAAGTGATCCTCCCACCTTGCCCTCCCAATGTGCTGGGATTACAGATGTGAGCCACCTCACCTGGCCAAAGTATTTTTAAAATTTCTGATCAATCATATATTTGTGAGAAATTACCACATTCAATAACAAGATAAAGTGGGAGGTCTCGTTTCACTGTTAAAATTGCAAAGTAGTAATAAGTGCAGAAGATAGTTCATGCTCTCTGAAACAACCGTAACATGATATAAAAATGTCTGTGATTTCCATTGATGGTGACCAAGTCACTGGGACTGATAATGCTACTGTGGTTTGTTGCCTGGATTTATAATAATGCTCAATTTCAGTTCAAGGTTAGTAAATTTCCTATCTAACTCCATGGATCTCTTGCAATCTATCCATAGTCCTCAGGTTAAGAAGCCCTTCCTTAGAGTGAACAATTCAAGGTTCTAAATAACTTAGAAAAGATTCCCCTGCAGGCACGATGCAAGACAAATTCACTTACTATTTATTGCTGGGTCATTGGTAGCCCTTCATCCCTCGCTAAGCAGAACCTCAGGGGGCTGTACCTGGGAGGCATGTATAGATGTCCCGGTAAGAATGAACACAGAAGATGAGAGAATGACAGCGGGAGAGGAAGGGAGGGATGCAGAGGGAAACGCAAACATCCAGACTAAAAAGCACCTTTAGCCTTCACCTCCTGCCACTGCCCTCTGATCCCAAGCAGGGCTTGGAATCCAGAGAGGGGCTGCCTCCCTCAAGTCATTCCCCCTTTCCTTTATTCCTGTGACCAATTACAGATCAGTGAAGCTTAAGTTTTTTGCATTCACCTTTTTTTTTTTTTTTTTGAAATAAAGTTTTGCTCTTGTTGCCCAGGCTGGAGGGCAATGGTGCGATCTTGGCTCACTGCAACCAATAAGGTGGACCTCCCGGATTGAAGTGATTCTCCTGCCTCAGCCTCCTAAGTAGCTGGGATTACAGGCATGCACCACCACGCCCGGCTAATTTTTGTATTTTTAGTAGAGACAGGGTTTCTCCATGTTGGTCAGGCTGGTCTCGAACTCCTGACCTCAGGTGATCCACCCACCTCCGCCTCCCAAAGTGCTGGGATTATAGGCATGAGCCACCACGCCCGGCCAGCAGATTCACCTTTCAATCTCCCTTCCCATTTCCCTCCTAATCCCAAACACCCACATGTCAGTCTGAGTGCTTGGTTGTAACAGATGGTCTCCCTTTTCCCCTCCAGTTTATCCTGTACGCAGCTGTCAGACAATTTTTTCTGTGTGTCACTTTCTGCTCAAGGAACTTGCTGGGGAATCTCCATTATCACTGGTCCCACAGTCCACGTCTCTGTCTGGCTTTCAGGGCCCTTCATAATTTCACTCCATTCTCTCAACCAGGTTTATTTCTCATCAGTACTCACACTCACACTCCTTCTTGCCACACTCATGACTTTGTTGATGCTGTGCCCTTACCCGGAACTGTTCTCCTCCCACCACGCAGCCAAACCAAATTCAACCCATCCCACACACCCACCTGAAGATGGTTTTCCCCTGGCTGAGCTGAGCTGACCTGGCACTATTCTCAATGCCCAGTGCATGGACATTACCACATAGCCTGGTACTGAAGCATTTTCCAACTATTTCATGCTTAGTAATTATCTCTCCATGGACTCTAAATGCCTTGAGGATAGGAATCATCTTCTATTCTCCTATATATCTCCCTGGGCCTAGACTAACGCTGAGCAATAGAAATCATGTTATCACTCAAGTTATAATGAGAAGAGGAAACTTTTTATTTTGTTAGATCTCTCTGGGGAAGTGCTATATGTGCTTGGAAGAAACATGCTGACAAGCTTACTGAGGATAAGAAGGAGGCCTCCCAGGGCATTCTCAAGCAACGAAAGACGTTTGCTGAATTATTCGCCAGAAGATCAGGAGAGTACTTTATGGAGCTTGTGAGAAAAAGGAAAAGCAAAAAGAGAATAAGAAATGAGACAGGGATGCTGTACATTGTATTAAAATGAGATGCCTGTACCCCCAAACCCTGAGTAAAATTCTATTAAAACTCAAAAAACAGCTGTCTAGGTGGATTTCTGGTGGAAACCAGTGAAGGGGCCAAGATTTCTATGGAGGGTAATGTGAGGTTTTGAGATAGATGCAAACAGGAGCCAGATGGACACGGAGGCCTTGACTAGCATTTGGATTATATTCCAATATATGATTGATCAATTGGCCAGTATGGAGAATTATCATGGAAATGCGTGTGGTGGCTCACTGACCCCAGATGTATATTTCTCCTGCCTCTTCCATCTCACTACTATCTATTTGAGGAAGTATTAAAGTGAAGGCCACATCAGACTCTGTAGGATAACAGGTAGCCACAAAGTCTTTATTCATAAAATCCACTTCAGGCTGGGTGTGGTGGCTCATGCTTGTAATCCCAGCACTCTGGGAGGCAGAAGCTGGCAAATCATGAGGTCAGGAGTTCGAGACCAGCTTGGCCAACATAGTAAAACCTAGTCTCTACTGAAAATACAAAAATTAGCCAGGTGTGGTAGCATGCGCCTGTAGTCCTAGCTACTCAGGAGGCTGAGGCAGGAAAATCGCTTGAACTCAGGAGGTGAAGGTTGCAGTGAGCCGAGACCACGCCATTGAGCTCCAGCCTGGGTGACAGAGTGAGACTCCATCTCAAAAAAACTAAAACTAAAAATAAATAAAATAAAATCCACTTCCAAAACATTCTTTTTAAACTGTGAGTGTGTTTGGTTCTTAGCTCACCTCAAGGTTAGGTAAGTTACCCACTCAGTGAGCATACATCTGGCGATTAGCTTGGGTTTCGGTGGTTGCTTCAGGTATACTCAGGGTGTAGGTGGAATTTGGCACTCGCTGGTTGAGTCATTTATAATTGTCCAAATTTGAGGAGGTATGAATTATGCCATCTCAGCTAGATTAAAAATGGAATGCACGGTCTTCTAGATGCTTTGATTTCATCAATATTATAATCCTGGAGAAAATAAACATTTCATTTATAAGACATGACAGATGCTTGGTAAGTACTCCAGATACTGTAGGTGCTCAGTTCAAGTCTGTTAATAAATGCAGACTTTGTTCATTACATTAAGTAAAAATGTAAAAGCAAGCAGGGTATGTATTAGTGTTCTCCAGAGAAACAGAACTAATAGGGAATGGATATAGGTATAGATGTTTCAGTCCATTTTTTTGTTGCTTAGAACAGAATACCTAAAACTGGGTAATTTATTTTTTTATTTGTATTTATTTATTTTTGAGACAAAGTTTTGCTCTTGTCGCCCAGGCTGGAGTGCAGTGGTGCGATCTCGGCTCACTGCAACCTCCGCCTCCTGGGTTCAAGCAATTCTCCTGCCTCAGCCTCCCAAGTAGCTGGGACTACAGGCACCCACCACCACGCCTGGCTAATCCATTCATGAAGGCAGAGTTCTCATGACCCAATCACCTCTTAAAGTCCCCACTTCTCAATACTGCCACATTGGGGGTTAAATTTCAATGTAAGTTTCAGAAGGGGACAAATATTCAAACCATAGTAATAGATGTATAAAGAGATTTTTTATAAGGAATTGGCTCACACAATTATGGAGGTCAAGAAGTCCCAAGATCTGCAGCTGGCAAGCTGGAGACTCAGGAGAGTTGTTAGTGAAGTTTTTTGTTTTTGGTTTTTGGGGGGTTTTTTTGAGACAGAGTCTCGCTCTGTCGCCCAGGCTGGAGTGCAGTGGCATGATCTCAGCTCACCGCAACCTCCGCCTCCTGAGGCTGAGATTCTCCTGCCTCAGCCTCCCAAGTAGCTGGGACTACAGGCATATGCCACCACACCCGGCTAATTTTTGTATTTTTAGTAGAGATGGGGTTTCACCATGTTGGCCAGGCTGGTCTTGAACTCATGAACTCAGGTGATCCACCCGCCTCAGCCTCTCAAAGTGCTGAGATTACAGGCATGAGCCACCATACCCAGCCAATGATGAAGATTTGATCCAATGTTTGGTAGGCTCAAGACCCAGGAAGAGCTGATGTTTTAGTCTGAGTCCAAAGGCAGGACAAACAGTCAATCAGGCAGGAGGAATTTTTTGACTCTTGGGAGGAGTAGCCTTTTGTTATATTTAGGCCTTCAGCTGATTGGATGAGGCCCACCAACATTGGGAAGGGCAATCTGCTTTATTCAGTCCACCAATTCAAATGTCAATCACATCCACAAACACCCTTACAGACACACGGAATAAGGTTTAACCAAATGTCTGGGCTCCCTGTGGCCCAGTCAAATTGACACATAAAATTAACCATCACAAGGTACAACATTGAATTCCAATTATATAAAATATAAACTCAGGCAAAATTAATATATTCTGTAACAAAGTCAGGAGAGTGTCTGCTCTGGAGAGAAAGAGAAGGGGCTTGAATGGCTTCTGGTTATTGGTAATGTCTTATTTCCTGATTTGATGTTGGTTATACAGGTATGTTCACCTTGTGAAAATTTATGGAGCTATCCACTAGGGATTTATGCCCTTTTCTCAATGTATACTATGCTTCAATTCAACATTATTTATTTGTTTGTTTGTTTGTTTATTGAGACAGAGTCTTGCTCTGTCACCCAGGCTGGAGTGCAGTGGTGCGATCTCGGCTCACTGCAACCTCCACCTCCTGAGTTCAAGTGACTCTCCTGCCTCAGCCTCCCAAGTATCTGGGATTACAGGTGTGTACTACAATGCCTGGCTAATTTTTGTAATTTTAGTAGAGATGGGTGTTAGGAACAGGCCCCCAAATCTGGCCATAAACTGGCCCCAAAACTGGGCATAAACAAAATCTCTGCAGCACTGTGACATATTCTTGATGGCCATGACGCCCATGCTGAAGGTTATGGGTTTACCGGAATGAGGGCAAGGAACACCCGGCCCACCCAGGGCAGAAAACCGCTTAAAGGCCTTCTTAAGCCACAAACAATAGCATGAGTGATCTGTGCCTTAAGGACATGCTCCTGCTGCAGATAACTAGCCAGACCCATCCCTTCGTTTCAGCCCATCCCTTTGTTTCCATTAAGGAATACTTTTAGTTAATCTATAATCTATAGAAACAATGCTTATCACTGGCTTGCTGTCAATAAATATGTGGGTAAATCTCTGTTTGGGGCTCTCAGCTCTGGAGGCTGTGAGACCCCTGATTTCCCACTCCACACCCTATATTTCTGTGTGTGTGTCTTTAATTCCTCTAGTGCCACTGGGTTAGGGTATCCACAACCAAGCTGGTCTCGGCAGACGGGTTTCTCTGTTTCCCAGGCTGGTCTCAAACTTGTGGCCTCAAGCAATCTGCCTGCCTCAGCCTCCCAAAGTGCTGGGATTACAGGCATGAGCCACCATACCCGGCAATTCAACATATTTTACTGGGGTGATGGGAGTGGGCATGTGGAATGTCTTAGGAGATAACACTGCTATAAATTCCTTCCAACAAGCTTACGTTTTCTTGGCTAGAATTGTTCAGCCTCTCAGAATCCCTGGATAGGAAGTTGGATCATGCAGCTCCTGTCTGGGTTCCATTAAGTTAAAGCTCAGTTAGTTCGAGGGGCATCTCTTTTGCCTCAAGAGAAGTTCCTGAAAGGAAGGACAACAGTGAGTTCTGGCTATGGGACCCTTATTGCCAAAAGCACAGGAGCCCAGTCCAATCACAGCAGGTGCCAAACCTATCGATCTAGGAAAAGATGACCTAGCCGAGGTCACATCATGCAAGAACCTTGCAGCCATTGGTTCCTTCCATTTTTGTTGCTGTCGTGCTTTCTCAGAGTCTCCTTCTGAACATTGTTGCTTTGAAATTTCTGGGCAGCAAGAAACTGATATAAGACCTGATTCCTCTCTGATTCTGTGGGAAAACCACAGCCCCAAAGGGAGTTTTGGTTGATTTTTTTGAAGACATGTTGCCCAAAGGACTTTTTTTCCTTCTAGTTTTTTCAAGTGCATATTCGTTGAGACCCAATCCTCTGGCACCCATTGAAGTAGAGATCCACCGATTAGGTTAGCCAAGGCAGAGAACTGATCTAAATGATTTGGGCTCCAAATTAAAATTTTGATCTGAATCCAGTGCCTTGTTAAAATTCTTCACATTGAGCTTCGCCTTTCATTTGGTAGAACGTTTATTTAGGCATTGTGTCATATGATGGGAAAAGATTGACATGGTTTAGGATTCCGGCTCAGCCACCCACTTGCTGAGTAACCATTGGTAGATGATTTAACCTCTTTGAGGCTGTTTTCTCAAACTCAGTATTGAGGGATGAATTAAAATGTGTATATGAGGCTGGGCATGGTAGCTCATGACTGTAATCTGCACTTTGGAAGGCTAAGGCGAAAGGATTTCTTGAGCCCAGGATTTCAAAACCAGCCTAGGCAACATAGTGAGACACAATCTCTACAAAAAATTACTAATAAAAAATTAGCCGGGGCCATGTGTGATGGCTCACGCCTGTAATCCCAGCACTGTGGGAGGCCGAGGTGGGCAGATCATGAAGTCAGGAGTTTGAGACCAGCCTGGCCAATATGGTGAAACCCCATCTCTACTAAAAAATACAAAAATTAGCAGACATGATGGCGCATACCTGTAATCCCAGCTACTTGGGAGGCTGAGGCAGGAGAATCGCTGGAACCTGAGAGGTGGAGGTTACAGTGAGCCGAGATCGTGCCACTGCACTTCAGCCTGGGCAACAGAGCGAGACTTTGTCTCAAAAAAAAAAAAAAAAAAAAAAAAAAAAATTAGCTGGGCGTGGTGGTGCGCACCAGTAGTCTCAGCTACTTGGGAGCGTAAGGTGGGAAGATTGCTTTAGCCCAGGAGGTTGAGGTGGCAGTGAGCTGGGTTTGCACCACGGCACTCTAGCCTGAGCGACAGAGTGAGACTATGTCTCAAAAACATAAATAAATAAATAAAAAACATACATGCAAAGTGCCTAAACCACTTTAGTTACTCAGGTAAGTAATAAACATTCATCATCATCATCATTTCAATATCCTGTGAAGTCAGTGTAGACCTGGCCTAATGCAGTCAAAGTGGTTTAACTCAAAAAGCACGTAAACGTCTTTATTCCACGGGAAGTGTGTAGCTTTACAGCCCGCAGGAGACATTTAAATAGAATCTAGACAACGTTCAGATCATCAACAGGTTTTGAATCTCCCAGATTAGAATATTTGTGATTATGTGAGCTTGACATCAATGAAATGGAATAAATAAAATGTTCATTGCTCTGTTGCCCAGGCTGGAGTGCAATGGCACAATTATAGCTCACTGCAGCCTCGACCTCTCAGTCTCAAGTGATCCTCCTACCTCAGCCTCCTGAGTATCTGGGACCACAGGCATGCACCACCATGCCCAGCTAATTTTTGTGTATTTTGTAGAGATGGGGTCTTGCTCTGTTGCCCAGGCTTGTCTCAAATTCCTGGGCTCAAGTGATCCTCCCACCTCAGCCTCCCAAAGCACAGGCATAAGCCACCACACCCAGCCATTCTAATAACTTTGGTGTATCTGGCTTGATGTTTATATTAGATTTGATTGATCTTTTTGATGGACATGAGTGGGTGGTAGAAAAGAGAGTATTTACTTGTGTTTTGATGAACTGGTGGATTTTTTTAATTTTGAAAAATATAATTCACAATAACATAATTCAAAAATATCTAATAAATGTGTTTTAGAATGGCTATTGATAGTGAAGAAATCTTATGGGTTAGGGTGTTTCACACTGATTTATTTGTATTGCTGACCTTAGAAAAATTAATTTCTGAACCAGGAGTGGTGACTCACGCCTATAATCCCAGCACTTAGGGAGTACCATGCGGGTGGATCACTTGAGGCTAGCCTGGCCAACATGGTGAAATGCTGTCTCTACTAAAAATACAAAAATTAGCTGGGTATGGTGGCGCGTGCCTGTAAGTTCAGCTACTCGGGAGGCTGAAGCAGGAGAATCGCTTGAACCTGAGAGGTGGAGGTTGCAGTGAGCCGAGATTGCGTGCCACTGCACTCCAGCCTGGGCAACAGAGCAAGACTCCATCTCAAAAAAAAAAAAGAAAAAAAAAATTAATTTCTGGCCAGGTGCAGTGGCTTACCCCTGTAATCCCAGCGCTTTTGGAGGCTGAGGCAAGAGGATTGCTTGAAGCCAAGAGTTCAAGACCAGCCTGGGCAACAAAGCGACACCTCTGTCTCCACAAAAATCTAAATAAATAAATAAATCAGCCAGCTGGGGTGGTGTGTGCCTGCAGTCCCAGCTACTCAGGAGGCTAAGGCAGGAGGATTGCTTGAGCCTGGGAGTTTGAGGTTACAGTGAGCTACGATCACAACACTGCACTCCAGCCTAGGTGACAGAGTAAGACCCAGTTTCTTAAAAAAAAAAATAATAACAGCTGGGCACGGTGGCTCACACCTGTAATCCCAACACTTTGGGAGGCCAAGGCAGGTGGATCACAAGGTCAGGAGTTCAAGACCGGCCTGGCCTACATAGTGAAACCCTGTCTCTACTAAAAATACAAAAAATTAGCCAAGCGTGGTGGCAGGCGCCTGTAATCCCAGCTACTTGGGAGGCTGAGACAGGAGAATCACTTGAACCTGGGAGGTGGAGGTTGCAGTGAGCAGAGATTGTGCCACTGCACTCCAGCCTGGGCAACAGAGCAAGACTCTGTCTCAAATAAAATAATAATAATAACAAAAGAAATTAATTTCCTTCACAGTAGTTTACCAAGTGTGACAGCAAAAGTACTGAGGTTAACAAGCATTTTGGAAATGTGATTTCTGAATAAAGTAATGAGTTTTTTTTTCTTTGCAAGTGGAGAGAAACTTCCTCTTTGTGAAATTTCATGTCAGATAAACCCAAGGTATAAGCTGAAATAAAAACAATTATGTAATCGCTCTTCTTCATCTTACCTCCTTTTTAAGGAATATAAACTATTGGTAATGTACTAGTGAGAATTCTAATGTGTGAGTCATAGCCTGTGAATCATGGTAACGCATCAGAAGGCTCTGATTGGGAGAACTGAATTATAGTCCTCTTCCTGCACTAAAATAATAACCTCCTCCCACAGGGGCTCAAAGAAAAACATGGTTTTCCAGCAATGAACTTTAACTTCTCTTCTTTATTTTTTCCTGGTTTGATTTTTATGGGAATCTGCTCTAGGATGGCTGGCTCCTCTAAGACTTACATTATTTAGAGTCGTCTTCCATACCGGGTGTAATTCTTGCGCTCACGGTCTCTCTCTCTCTCGCTCTCATCTTTCTTGTACTTATTTGCTGTTATTTCTACAAAGATAAGACAATAACAGGTAACTTGTTTTTACAGCGTACAGTTTACAAAGCACTTTCATAAATATCTCATTTGAGCTTCTTAGCAGCTTTATAGAAAAACATAAATTATTACTCATTTCTACAGATCGGGAAACCTAGGCCCAAGAGAGGTAAGTGACTTCCCAAAGTACAGTGCCTCTTGATATCAAGTCAAGTAAATCAAATCCCTCTTCAGCTTGGTGGACACCACCCCGCATGGTTATCACAGCAGGAAGATGGAGGGTGGGTGGTCAAATGCTAACACAGTGAGAGCACTAGACTTTCTTTTATGGCAAAGAGCACAGTCACTTACAGAGATGTTTGTACCATGCAGGAGACAGCATGGCTGACTCCCAGGTGGAGTTAGGAGCTGCCCAGGTCTGCAGGTCCCCAGGGAGGGATAGCTTTGGAGGACACCCAGGCAAACTGAGGATTCCAGCAGACACGAGAAGCTCACCTCAGCTGCTCTAATGGGGTGGTGGCCAGCGGGGTTAAACCTATCTATCCTGCCCCCCAAAACACACCCTCCTCAGCTGCCTATCCTGGGACAGGACACACCCTCTTGGCTCCCCACCCACAAGTTACTAGCATGAAACAAACCCAGCGAACTCAATTCAAGGAAAGGGAAAGCTCGTTTTCTAGGCATAGGGTCCTGCAGTGGGGCCGGGCTTCCAGCCTGGTTGTGCTTCAGGGCTGCACACTCACACAAAATGTCTCATGGAGTAGATGACTCGTTCACTCAAGAACCAGCCATCGATGGCCTGTGGTTACAGAATGGAAGACACAGTGAAGCAGGGGAATTATAAATGGGGTGCTCAATGTAAACCAGATTGTTTGTTTTGCCCCTCTCCCCTCTCTCTCATCTGTCTTTCTTGTCCTTTATGCCCCAATGGCACCTGTGGGGTCCCTTCCCCAAGCAAAGCTGCTGGCACCTACACACAGAGAGCATGACGCTCATAGAGGCTCTCCAGGAGGACCGAAGTGCCCACAGAAGCACCAGTCAGTGTAGCCTGAGGCTGCCCAGGCCCAGAACCTCCACCCCTCTGTTCTCAGCCACCCAGAGTCATACCCTTAACCTCATCATTATCCAGACCTACAGCGCCTACACCCGCTCTCCAACCACTCCTGACCATGTCCTCTATCTGTCCAGCTTACTCCCTCGGCCCCCCAATTCCAGCAATCCTGTGAGCCACCAAGACCTACAGTCCTGCCCTATAGAGACCTCACCACCTTCTCACTGTCCCCCAGCCCCCACGTCCTCCCCTCCCTCCTGATCCAATCATGACGGTCATTCATCTGCTTATACCCTCCGACTTCTTCACCTCTTTCTCGCTTTGAGGTTCTCTCTGATGAAATCACACCCCTGGTTAAATGGAACTCTCCAGCCGCTCTGGGCCTGCATCGCCCCATGGCTGGAGAACAAACTCAGTCAGCCTCTGTTCACCCTTTGCATTGCTGACAAAATCCAGTGGGCCCTGACTGATGCTCCACAAACGTATCACACTTCTCTCGTCTCCTCTCTCCCACTCTCCCAGGTGATGATTTCATACCTTCTCCTCTCTCTCTACACCTTCAACACCTCCTCCCCCTCCTCCCTCTCAGCAACTTTGCTTCCTATGCCACCAAGAACATCGCAGCCACCAGAAAAGAGCTCCTACGTGCTCTCACCAGCGCGCCCACCCACCCCCCGTGTCTGTGTCTGAGCACTCAGCCTTCTCCCCGCGGCGTGGGTGAGCTGCCCTGCCCCCACCTGCCCCTCCGTGGGATGGGATCCCAGCCCCTGCGGCCCACTCGCGGACATCTCTCCTGCCGCTCTGTCTTCTCTCTCCTGCACCTCCGCATTTTCCTTCTCGATTGAATTAATCCCATCAGCTCATAAACATACTGTATTTCTCCCATCTTAAGAAGAAAAGAAAAAACAGCTCTCTTCACTTCACTTCCCCCTCCAGCTTCCACTCCACTTCTCTACCTTCTTTCACAACAAAACTCCTTGAAAGAATGGAGGACACTCTTCTTCTCTCTGCCTCTGATTTCTCTCCTCCGGTCCTCACTCGAATTCACCACAGCTGGACTTTTGCCCCCACCATGCCACTAAATCAGTGTTCAGGTCACTGGTGAATTCCATGGTCACCTGTCGGCCCTCTTCTTGCTTGACCCGTTGGTGACATGACATGCAACTGACGCTGTCTCCTCCTTGAACCGCCTTCTTCTCTCGGTTTCCAGGATGCTGCCCACTCCTGGTTCTCCTCCTGCCTTTCTAGACACCGTCTCTCAAGCACTTTTGTTGGTTTTGTTGGTGGTGGTGGTGGTGGTTTTGAGACAAGATCTTGCCTTGTCACCCAGGATGGAGAGCAGTGGCCCAATCAAAGCTCACTGCAGCCTTGACCTCCCAGGCTAAAGTGATCCTCCCACTTCGGCCTCCCGAGTAGCTGGGACCACAGGTGCCCACCACCACACCTGGCTAATTTTTAAATGTTTAATAGAGATGAGGTCTCGATATGTTGCCCAAGCTGGCCTCAAGCCATCCCCCCACCTCAGCCTCCTAAAGTGCTAGGATTACAGGCGTGAGCTGCCGCGCCCGGCCTTGTTGGTTCTTTTTCCTATCCTTGACTAAAGTGCTGGGATTACAAGTGTGAGCCGCCGCGCCTGGCCTTGTTGGTTTTTTTCCTATCCTCCTATCCTTGACTAAAGTGCTGGGATTACAGGCATGAGCCGCCGCGCCCGGCCTTGTTTGTCTTTTTCCTATCCTTGACCTCTAACTGTCAGTGTGCTCCAGGGCTCAATCCTCGGACGTTCTCTTGCATACCTATACTCAATGCTGAGGAAATCTCAGCTTGTCTTATGGCTTTAAATACTGCATATCTGATAGGTGTAGATGGATATGATGGATATAACGATGATTCTCTAATTTTTTTTGGAGATGGAGTCTCACTCTGTCGCCCAAGCTGGAGTGCAGTGGCATGATCTCAGCTCACTGCAACCTCCGCCTCCCAGGTTCAAGTGATTCTCCTGCCTCAGCCTGCCAAGTGGCCCAAGTAGCTGGGATTACAGGCACCTGCCACCATGCCCGGCTAATTTTTGTATTTTTGTAGAGATGGGGTTTCACCATGTTGGCCAGGCTGGTCTCGAACTCCTGACCTCAAGTGATTTGCCTGCCTCGACCTCCCAAAGTGCTGGGATTACAGGCATGAGCCACTGCTCCCAGCCTGATTCTCTAATTTTTATCATCAGGAAGACCCTTTCCCCTGAGCTCCACACCCACCTACCCACTGCCATTAGACGATGGGCATCTCCAGCCTCACAGAGCTCCCAGTTCTCCACTCAGCCAGCCTTTTGGCAGTCTCCCCATTTCAGTTCAAGGCAACTTTATTCTTCTAGTTGCTCAGACCAAAGACATTCCTCAGTTTGCATTCTCTCACCCCACACAGCCAGCTCATTAGGAAGTCTTGTTGGCAATACCTTCAAAATACATCCAAACCCAATTCCTTTCCATCTCCCCCACTGCCACCATCATTCCTCACCTGGGTTACTTCAGTAGTGTCCTAACAGGCCCCACGGCTCTGTCTTCACCCCGTTGCAACCTACTCTCAGCAGTTTTCAGAAAGATCTGATTCAATTCTGTCACTCCCCTCCTTAAAAGCCTTCTCTAAATGCATTTTCAGTTAGAGAAAAGCTGTAGACCTTAGCGTGGGCCTGCAGCCCCTAGCTGACTCTGCCTCTTATCTCTCCGCGCTCTTCCCTGCTGACCCCCATCCCCTGTGCTGCAGCCACACTGACCCCCTTGAGCACACGCCAGGCTTTAGGGCTGGTCCTTTCCACTCTGTCTGCCTGGGCTGCTCTGACCCCAGACAGGCTGCTCTAAAAAGGCTCACCCTTCTCCAGCTTTTCCTACTCACCCTGCCTGCTATTTTTTTCTCCTTAGCACTACTGCCATCAAACATACTATATGTGGCTGGGTGCAATGGCTCACACTTGTAATCCTAGCACTTTGGGAGGCCAAGACACAGATCACTTCAGGTCAGGAGTTCAAGACCGGCCTAGCCAACATGGTGAAATCCCGTCTCTACTAAAAATACAAAAATTAGCCAGGCATGGTGGCAGGTGCCTGTAATCCCAACTATTTGGGAGGCTGAGGCAAGAGAATCACTTGAACCTGGGAGGTGGAGGTTGCAGTGAGCCGAGATCATGCCATTGCACTCCAGCCTGGGCAACAGAGCAAGATTTTGCCTCTAAATAAATAAACAAGTAAATAACATATGCTGTACTTACTAACCTTGTTAATTGTCTGTCCCCCCTCTAAAATGCCATTGGGAGTGGGGGTTTTTTCTGTTTGGGTCACTGCCATGTCCCGATGTCCACGGGCGTTCACGGCAGCCACGTGGCGAGTGCTCACAAATGTGTGCAGTTTCGTGGACAGGAAGGTCTAGGCTGAAGCAAGTGGGATGATCCCACAGCCTGACTATCTTAGTAGTCACCCATGAGGATGGTTTTCAGAGCCCTCACCCTCATGTACCGCAGAGAAACGACTGCAGCCTGGCCCCTCTCTGACTTCCCCTCCTTCAAGCCACCGCAGAAACAGCAAGGCCGTGAAGAGCGTAACGAGAGAGCCAGCAGGGCCCGGGCTGACCTCAGCCTCTGACACTTCGGATTTTCATGCTGGGAAAAACATTTCATCTCTCTAAACCTCAGTTTGGTTTTTTTTTTTTTTTTTTTTTTTGAGACCTAGCCCACTCTGTTGTCCAGGCTGGAGCACGGTGGAGTGATCTTGGCTCACTGCAACCTCCACCTCCCGGGTTCAAGCTATTCTCCTGCCTCAGCCTTTCAAGTAGCTGGGATTACAGGCGTGTGCCACCACACCCGGCTAATTTTTGTATTTTTAGTAGAGATGTGGTTTCACCTTGTTGGCGGGGCTGGTCTCAAACTCCTGACCTCAAGTGATCCACCCGCCTCAGCCTTCCAAAGTGCTGGGATTACAGGTGTGAGCCGCCGTGCCTGGCCTAAACCTCAGTTTCTTAACCAGTAAAATGAGAATAATGCTACCTACTTCATAGGACTACTGAAGGGTGAAATGAAACAGTGTGTGTAAAGTACTTAGTACAGTGGCTGACACAGAGCAGGCACTTGGAGAATGGAGATTATTTTTATTAGTAGTAAGAAAAGTTATAGGAAGGTGGGTGTGGGGGCTCACACCTGTAATCCCAGCTGCTCCTAAGGCCGACGTTGGAGGATCGCTTCGGCCCAGGAGTTTGAGACCAGCCTGGACCACATAACTATCCCCCAACTCTGAAAATCGATTAAAAATTAGCTGGAGAGGGTGACACATGCCTGTAGTCCCAGCCACCGGAGAAGCTGAGGCAGGAAAATGGCTTGAGTTCAGGAGTTTGAGGCTGCAGTGAGCTATAATCACCCCAGTGCACTCCAGGCTGGATGACAGAGTAAGACCTCATCTCTTCAAAAAAGGAAAAAAAGAAAAAAGTTACAGCAGCTGTAGGTTCTTGGCTCTTGACTTGGGAAGAATTTCACTGATAATTTTTTTTAAGTTGATATTTTGTATTTTCATTATTTTACCTTTGTTAGTATTATTCACAACAAAGCAGTGTCGAGAACAATGATCACATTTCTCCTCTTCTATAACTTATTGGTTGTCCTGGAGTTTAATTTTTAGGCTTCTCCTTTTCTTTTTTTTTTTTCATTTTTGAAATTGAGATATGTTTAGATTAAACGCAGAGATCTTAAATGTTACAGTTTGACGTGTTTTGAAAAATATGTACATGGCTGAAACTCATATTTCTAAAAAAAAATGAGTGTTTCCAATATACCATTAAGTTCACTGGGGCCCCCTTACAGTCAAATCTTATACACCACAACCCCTCAGATGATCAAGGTTCAGATTTCTTTGAACATAAATTAGTTTTGCCCATTTAGAGATTCATCTAGCTGTGTAAGTCTTCTTTCATTGAGAAAAAGATTTTAAATTCCTCCACATTCGTGGCTATATCAATCGTTGGAAACTTTTAATTATTGCCTAGTATTGTTTTATTATTATACTTGAAGTTCTAGGGTACATGTGCACAACGTGCAGGTTTGTTACATATGTATACATGTGCCATGTTGTTGTGCTGCACCCATTAACTCGTCATTTACATTAGGTATATCTCCTAATGCTATCCCTCCCCCCTCCCCCCACCCCACAACAGGCCCCGGTGTGTGATGTCCCCCTTCATTCACTGATGATTTAAAAACAGCTTGTTTATGATTGCAAGGACCCAAATGGTTGCTCGCTGTCTCCATAGAAGCTGACGGGAAGAAATGTGCTTGAGCTACAACAGGCAGTGGCCAAGTCAACCTACGGAAGTCTTGTCTGATCATAAGAGGTTGAAGCCACAGAAGCAGGCTTATCCAAAGAAGCTGTGACAGCTCATCAGGACAGATCCTTAAAGAGTGGCATACCCTAGGCTGGGTGTGGTGGCTCAGGCCTGTAATCCCAGCACTTTGGGAGGCTGAGGCGGGCAGATCGCCTGAGGTCAGGAGTTCAAGACCAGCCAGGCCAGCCGTCTCTACTAAAAATACAAAAATTAGCCGAGCATGGTGGCGCATGCCTGTAATCCCAGCTACTTGGGAGGCTGAGGCAGGAGAATCGCTGGAACCCAGGAGGTGGAGGTTGCAGTGAGCCAAGATCATGCCACTGCACTCCAGCCTGGATGACAGAGCGAGACTCTGTCTCAAAAAAAAAAAAAAGACTGGTGTATCCTGGTGTGTCTAGTCATAGAGTCCCTGCAGCTTTCTGGGTGAGAAGTCTGTGATGGAAACAGCATGGAAGCCTCAAACTCCATGGATAAATGGGGCAGCTGACCAGACAGCTGTGAACTAACAGGTCTACACTGCAAATGCAAAATATTGCAGGCCCCATACTCCACTTGTTAATACTCCTCTCTGCCCTTTAAATATATATATATATTTGAAGTCTTCCGCTTCTCAGCTTGCTTCCATCCCCCTCCTCAGTGCTTGTTGATGGGATTCAAGCACTCACCCCTGAAAACTGCAGGCCCTGCTCTTCTGATGCCTGGTGAAAGAATCTTAAAGATGAGAAGGAGGGACGTACGCTCTCTTTTCCTGAAGCTAGAAAAAGTAGATGCTCTTCTGCATCATCAACCACCTGTCTTAGTTTGCTTTCTGTTGCGGTGACAGAATACCACAGACTGGGTAATTTACAAAAGAAAAACAGAGGCCGGGTGCTGTGGCTCATGCCTGGAATCCCAGCACTTTGGGAGGGCAAGGTGGGAGGATCGCTTGAGCTCAGGAGTTTGAGACTAACCTGGGCAACATGAAAAACCCCCTCTCTACAAAAAATACAAAAACTAGCCGGGCCTGTGGCTGTCAGCCCTGGCTGGATATTAGAATCACCTGGTGGTGATGAGTTAGCTCAGTAATTAGTGAGTAAAGTCACCTAGGAAGTTTGGTCTGGGCTCAGCATGGATAGAATTCAATGAGAATTTCTGGGGATGGGGCCCAGGCACCAGTGTTTTAGTAAAGATGCCCAGATGATTCCAATGTACCACTAAGGCCGAGAACCACTGGAATAGCCCGGATTATTCTAATGTACCACTAAGGCCGAGAACCACTGGTATAGCCCAGATGATTCCAATGTACCACTAAGGCCGAGAACCACTGGTATAGCCCAACTAACATATATCCAAGTTATTGCTGCAGAGTTTTACTGCTTCATTTCTCAGGAAAACCCTGACAGATGAAAGAAGGCTTGATTTAGCAAGAAAGAGAGTATTCAGATCAATCCAAATTCTTATGTCATTTATAACTATAATCCCTCTGAATATATTATTTCCACAATCCCCAAAACCTTTTTATTTTTGTAGTTAAATTTTTATTTAATAGGATACAATTTTTAGAAAAAAAAACTCTTATTTTTAAAACACTCCAAATTTTTCTTTGCAAAAAGACCTTTGCCTGGTGGTTAAATTTTTTAAGGGAATTGATACTCTTTCACCTCATTAGCAAAAAAAAAAAAAAGGCTTAAATTTATTTAGATCTCTCAAACTTTTTAAGATGATACCTTTTTTATTGCAACACTGTCCCAAGAGTAGACATGTCTTTGACATGGGAGACCTCTGGTGTCTCTATGTTTTCTATATAGAGCTGTACTGTCTGATACCATAGCCACTAGCCATATGTGATTCTGGAGTCTCACTCTGTCACCCAGGATGAAGTACAGTGGTGCCATCTCAGCTCACTGCAACCCCCACCTACCAGGCTCAAGCGATTCTTCCACCCCAGCCTCCTGAGTAGCTGGGACCACAGACTCAGGCCACCACACCGGGCTGTTTTTGTATTTTTGGTAGAGACGGGGTTTCACCACATTGCCCAGGCTTGTCTTGAACTCCTGAACTCAAGTGATCCTCCTGCCTCAGCCTTCCAAAGTTCTGGGATTATAGGCATGAGCCACCGTGCCCAGCCAATATGGGACTCCTTAAATTTAAATGTCTGGGGGCCAGGCACGGCGGCTCACACCTGTAATCCCAACACTTTGGGGGCCTGAGGCAGGAGGGTCACTTGAGTTTAGGAGTTAAAGACAAGCCTGGGCAACATGGCGAAGCCCCACTTCTGGTAAAAATACAAAAATTAGCCGGACATGGTGGTGCATACCTGTAGTCCCAGCTACTCGGGAGGCTGAGGCAGCAGAATTGCTTGAACCCGGGAGATAGAGGTTGCAGTGACCTGAGATCGATCACGCCACTAAATTCCAGCCTGGGCAACAGAGCAAGACTCCGTCTCAAAAAAAAAAAAAATTAAATGGCTGAGGTGGCAGCTCACACCTGTAATCCCAGCACTTTGGGAGGCCTAGGCAGGAGGATTGCTTGAGCTCAGGAGTTCAAGACCAGCCTATGCAACATAGTGAGACCCCTATCTCCACAAAAAAAATTTTTTTTTAATTAGGTGAGTGTGGTGGTGCACACCTGTGGTCCCAGCTACTCCAGGGGCTGAGGTGAGAGGATCACTTGAGCCCGGGAGACTGAGGCTGCAGTGAGCTGTGATCATGCCACTGCACTCCAGCCTGGGCGACACAGCAGGCCCTGTCTCTAAATAAATGAAGTTTAAATGAAATAAAATTAGAGGCTGGGCGCGGTGGCTCACGCCTGTAATCCCAGCACTTTGGGAGGCCGAGGTGGGTGAAGTGCCTGAGGTCGGGAGTTCGAGACCAGCCTGGCCAGCATGGTGAAACCCCGTCTCTACTAAAAATACTAAGATTAGCCGGGCATGGTGGCAGGCACCTATAATCCCAGCTACTCGGGAAGCTGAGGCAGGAGAATCGCTTGAACCCGGCAGGCAGAGGTTGCAGTGAGCCGAGATTGCACCACTGCACTCCAGCCTGGGTGACAGAGCGAGGCTCTGTCTCAAACCGCTCCCCGCCCACCAAAAAAAAAAGAAATAAAATTTAAAATTCAGTTCTTTCAGAATGAAATGAGCACTTCACATTTCAAGTGCTCAGTAGCCACATATGGCTGGTGACCACCATATTAGACGATGCAGCTACAGAATATTTCCATCATTGCAGAAAGTTTTATTAGCACTGAATTCAAGAGTGACTTTTAATTTATGCAACCGTATATGGTTTTACTCCTGGACTTTAATGGAAAATGGAGGCCCACCATAACCTGCAGCAGATCCTATGCCAAGGGGGCAGGAAGTGCCATTCCACTTATGGTGGAAGGAGGTGGTTTGGGGGAGGTGGAGGTGACTCCTGTGCTTACTCCCTGTGAGAAGAATCAACCTCTCAGGGCCTGAGGGGTAAACATTTGAGGAGGGAAGTGAAAGTCCTTTTTTTCTGAACTGTTAAGCACCCCCACCTAGTGCTCGTAATATTATCATTTTATGTACAAATTGGATGCAAAGCCTACCACCCTGTCAAACTACAGATTGCAGTGTGATCAGTTCAACTGCAAAGATTGGCCAGGAAAATCAACTCTCACCGTGGACAGCAAGGAACCAAGTGCATCAGCAGACTCTCCACTCATTCCTCCCCGTCACTGAGAAAGAGCCCAGAGCGGTGTGGGTGACTGACGTGGAACGGAGCTGCTCTGCGCTGAGCGTCGGCACTTGGAGACCTCGATTGAATCTATTCGGCAGGAGAGCTGAATTCAGAGCAGCCCACGGCTCACCCCAGCAATTGTCAGTGCTGGAAAAATCACCACCGTTGGTGTATTCCCGGCCACTCTGCTGGACGGATGGCAGGATTCCCAAGTAGTGAAGGGGAAGGCGGCCCTCCTGCCCTTCCTGCTTCCTCAGGTGGGCCCCGCACCTGTGGGCCGGCCTGCCTGCCTGCTCTGCTTGCGAGTGGCTCAGAAATGCCGGCTCCCAGGCCGTCGGGCTGTTCCCGGGATGAGACCTGCTGCCTACACATGTCACAGCAGTGGGTTCTGTTCAAAAAGTGACATGAGAGAAGAGAAAAGTCTCTGCTCCCTCCCATGACAGTCATGGAGAGTTTCTACCCTCTGTCAGGAAATCCGACTCTGTGTGTGAGTGTGTGTGTGTGTGTGTGTTCACATGCATGATTGACACTTCGCTGCCTCAGCACCTCGCCGATCCTGCATCTTTCCTGTGAGTTCAAAATGAGAATACACCCACATTTCTCTACTGTCAAAAGTTTTAGAACTGTTCAAGTGTGTTGTTAAGTATTCAGAGAAAAGGAGCTTGGTCCTGGGAGAACTGTTGAGTGGCGGGGATTAGCAGAGGGTATTGAAAAAGAAGACTGAGGCGGCTGAAGGCAATGGCAGAGGTGGAGAGACCCTCACGCGTGAGCTGCAGGGTGTATGTGCCTTTGGGGATTCAAAGGAGTGAGACCTGCTTTGACTGTGGAGGAAACTGACCACATATCACGCCTCCACTGAAACGTTAATTAGCAGAGCCTGGGAGAAGAGCTGATATCCTCACTCTGGTAGGGGCTGTCAGCTTGTCAAAAGGAAAGCTCTGCTTAGCTCAGAAGCCCAAACCTCTAACCATGGCTCTAGATGTGTAACATTCGGAATGTCAAGGACTCAGCCAATCCAGATGATTACAACAGCCCTAAATATCTGATGGGAGGACAATTAGGCAAGACAATGATGAAAGGCGTCTGGCTGGCAAAGAGCAAGCAATACTATATTTGAAATGACACAGTCTTACATATAGAAAATCCTAAGGAAGCTACTAAATTATTATTGGAATTAATAAATAGGTTCAGTTGCAGGGCACAAGGTTAATATACAAAAATCAACTGTATTTCTATATACTAGCAATGAACAGTACAAATGTAAACTTAAGAAAACAGTTCTATTTATAATTGCATTGAAAAGAATAAAATACTCAGGAATGAATGTAACAAAATAAATACAAAACTTACACTCTGAAAATTACAACATATTGTTGGAAGAAATCAAAGATGAACTAAATAAATAGACATCCCACATTATGGATGGGAAGAATCAATATTGTTAACATGGCGATACTCCCCACATTAACCTACAGATTCAATATAATTCCTATCAAAATCTCAGCTGAGATTGTGAAGAAAAAAAAAATCCCAGCTGACTTTTTTGACAAGCTGATCTTAGAATTCATACAGAAATGCAAGGGACCCAGAATAGCCAAAACAATCTTGAAAAAGAAGAACAAAGTTGGAAGATTCACACTTCTCAATTTCAAAAGAGTACAGAGTTCAGAAATCAAGACAGTGTGGAATGGACAGAAGGACAGACATACAGATGAATGGAGTTGAATGGAGTTGAATGGAGTGCTCAGAAATAAATCCTCACTTCTATGGTCAATTGTTTTTTGACAAGAGTGCTAAGACCTTTCAATGGGAAAGAATAATCCTTTCAACAAATTGTACAAAGACAACTGGACGTCCTCTTCCTTACACCATACACAAAAAACTCCAAATGGATCATAGGCCTAAATATAAAAGCACAACCTACAAAACTTATAGGAGAAAACACAGGAGAAATCTTCATGCCTTTAGGTTGGGCAAAGCCTTCTTAGCTATGACACCAAAAGCACAAGTGACAAAGAAAACAGTAGATAAATTGGACTTCATCAAAGTTAGAAACTTTTCTGCTTCAAAAGATGCCATCAAGAAAGTGAAAATGGCTGGGCACAGTGGCTCATTACAATGCTCAAGTAATCCCAGCTCTTCCGGAGGTCAAGGCAGGAGGATTGCTTGAGACCAGGAGGTTAAGGCTGCAGTGGGCCATGATGGAGCCACTGCACTCCAGCCTGGGTAACAGAGCAAGACTCTGACTCAAAAATTAAAAATAAAAGACTGGGTGGGGTGACTCATGCCTGTAATGCCAACACTTTGGGAGGCCAAAGTGGGTGGATTGCTGGAGCCCAGGAGTTCAAGACCAGCCTGGGCCACATGGTGAAACCCTATCTCTTCCAAAAAAATACAAAAAGCAGCAGAGCGTGATGTCATGCACCTATGGTCCCAGCTACACTGGAAGCTGAGGCAGGGGAGGATGACTTGAGCCCTGGAGGTCAAGGCTGCGGTGAGCTATGATCGTGACACTGCACTCCAGCCTGGACAACAGAGAGAGACCCTGTCTCAAAAAAAATAAAAAATATATTAAAATAAATTAAAAAGAAAGTGAAAAAGCCAGTCCACAGACTGGGAGAATATATTGGCACATCATATAGCTGATAAAGGACTTGTATCCAAAACATAAAGAACTATTACAACTCAAAAAGAAAAATAATACTACTTTCTGTTCACCAGACCTGAAAAAAAAGAGAAAGACAAATAGCAGAATCTTAAAGTAGTCAAAAATCTGAAGAGACATTTCTCCAAAGAAATATACAAGCGGCCAATAAGCACATGAAAAGACGCGCAGCGGCCACAGTGGTGCACCTGCAATCTCAGCTACTCAGGAAGCTGAGGTGGGAGGATCGCTTGAGCCTGGGAATTTGAGATCAGCCTGGACAACATAATGAGACTCCATCTTAAAAAAAAGATACTGAAAAATGCCCCATTAGGAAAATGCAAATTAAAACCACCATGAGATATCAGTTCACATTCACTCAAAAAGTATAATCAAAAACACAAATAGGCCGGGCGTAGTGGCTCACACCTGTAATCCCAGCACTTTGGGAGGCCGAGGTGGGCAGATCACCTGAGGTCAGGAGTTCGAGACCAGCCTGGCCAACATGGTGAAACCCCTTCTCTACTAAAAATACAAAAATTAGCCGAGCATGGTGGCGGGCGCCTGTAATCCCAGCTATTCAGGAGGCTGAGAGAGGAGAATCTCTTGAACCCTGGAAGGGGAGGTTGCAGTGAACCGAGATGGTGCCACTGTACTCCAGCCTGGTCAACAGAATGAGACACCATCTTGATAAAAAAAATTAAAAAAGAAAAAATTGTGATAACCTAAAAGGATTTGGCACTCAGATTGTTTAGCATCTGTCTAAATTCTTGTTCCACTTACGTAACCAAGACTGGATACTGTCCATGATGAATTATCAGTGTGTTTACACAAGAAAGGACACAGAATTCCACTCAACTGATCCATACTCAAAGAGAAGACCTTGGCCTTGCATTCAGAGATCAGCAAAAACAATATTCACTTTATGTTTTAGGTTAGAATATTTGATATTCTAACCTAATATGGCTAATAGGTTTTAATATCTAATGGCTAATTTGATATTCTAACCTAATAAGGCTGGTCTTGAACTCCAGACCTCAGGTTATCTGCCTGCCTTGGCCTCCCAAAGTACTGGATTACAGGCGTGAGCCACGGCACCCAGCCAGGATCTCTTTTAAAGTAAGTACAACTACAATAGAAGCCCTCTTCTCAATGTGACCAGCATCGATGATTGGTGAGTGAATGAAGTCAAAGTGGGAATTTAAACAGACAGAGTCTCACTATGTTGCCCAGGCTGGTCTTGAACTCCTGGGCTCCAGCAATCTCCTACCTCAGCTTCCCAAAGTGCTGGGATTATAAGCATGAGCCACCACGTCTGGCCAGGGAAGGATTTCTTAAGGTGTAAATAATACAACTATTAAAAAAAAAGATTAATAGATATGACAATATTAAAATTAATAATATCTATTCACCAAAGACATCTTTTTTTTTTTTTTTTTTTTTTTTTGAGACGGAGTCTCGCTCTGTCGCCCAGGCTGGAGTGCAGTGGCGCCATCTTGGCTCACTGCAAGCTCCGCCTCCCGGGTTCACGCCATTCTCCTGCCTCAGCCTCCCAAGTAGCTGGGACTACAGGCGCCCGCCACCGCGCCCGGCTAATTTTTTGTATTTTTAGTAGAGACGGGGTTTCACCATGTTGGCCAGGATGGTCTCGATTTCCTGACCTCGTGATCCACCCGCCTCTGCCTCCCAAAGTGCTGGGATTACAGGCGTGAGCCACCGTGCCTGGCCGGTCACTTTCAGATAATCTTGTAAAGCTAAGAAGGTTGTTTTTTTTGTATTTGTTTTTGTTTTTGTTTTTGTTTTTGTTTTTTGAGACAGAGTCTTGCTCTGTTGTCCAGGCTGGAGTGCAGCGGCACGATCTTGGCCCACTGCAAGCTCCGCCTCCCGGGTTCAAGCGATTCTCCTGCCTCAGCCTTCCCAGTAGTTGGGATTTCAGGCGCCTGCCACCGCACCCATCTGATTTTTGTATTTTTAGTAGAGACGGGGTTTCACCGTGTTAGCCAGGCTGGTCTCGATCTCCTGGCCTCAGGTGACTCCCCACCTCAGCCTCCCAAAGTGCTGGGATTACAGGCATGAGCCACTGCACCCGGCCTATATTATCTTCACAACAAATTTTAAAACAAACAAGTTCTTTTCAAAACAGCAATAAATGCTTACAGTTCATTTTCACTTTCTCCAACGTGTACCTTTATCTTTGAGCCCCAAGAGGGGTATATATGACTATGTACAACCTAAAACAACACAGCAGAAACCATGGCTACTTCTAAGATCAGTACGAGCTCCAAGACGTGACTGATTCAATACAATCAACTCAAGTGGGGAAGATGCAACAAAACACGATAGCATTTACTCATGGTGTTGAGCAGCGAGAGATGGGAACTGGGGAGGCAGGGGAGAAGCCAGGGAGCCACCTGGAGGTCTGGTTTCTGGTGACTAGCCAGTGACAAAGTCAGATTTCATCGAGGGGTAGCAACAGCTGGAGCCATTGAGGACATGACAGCCTTAGAGACAAACTGTGTGACAATTTCCCCCTCTTCCCTCCTTCTTCCCAACTCAGTTCACCCTCCGCCCTCCACATGAATGAGCAAGACAGGAGGGAGACAGAATGAGAACGTGACTGTTCCTCTTCCGTAGCCTCCTCTCACACACCCTGCCCTCGCCCTCCTCCCGTCCCTCCACACCCAACCCCTTCCCCTGTGGTGCCCCTTCTTTTCCCCGACCCTCTGTTGCTGTCACTCCAATCCACCCACATAGCTCCCTTCCCGCGATGATGACAACTTCTTGTATCCAATGGGCAACACTGTGATGCCCCCACCTGACCACCCTTCAAAGGAGGATTTGTCGTCCCAGCTGCTTGAGAACCATGGAACTCTGGGTTCTGCCAGCCCAAGGTGAAAATTCCCCAAGGGAAGGATGGATGCTGGACACGGTCACCATATGTCCACCAGTTAGAATCAACTCCTAGAGATGGGATTTCCGGTCAAATGGTTAGATATGCATGGAAATCGGACTTTAGTTTCAGCATTTGGCCCCAGTCTGCTAACTGGGCTTGGTTTAGTCTTGACCTTTGGAAGGCCAAAGAGCCTACTTCCATGTTATTTATGTTTATGGCCTCCACGAACTGTGACTGATCAATGATTCTGTGATCACTCTTCTCTCTTACTAGCATAAAAATGTGGGCCAGGCACGGTGACTCATTCCTGTAATCCCATCACTTTGGGAGGCCGAGATGGGTGGATCACCTGAGGTCAGGAGTTAAAGATCAGCCTGACCAACTTGGTGAAACCCCGTCTCTACTAAAAATACAAACATTAGCTGGGCATGGTGGCACATGCCTGTAATCCCAGCTACTCAGGAGGCTGAGACAAGAGAATTGCTTGAACCTGGGAGGCAGAGGTTGCAGTGAGCCAAGATCGCACCACTGCACTCCAGGCTGGGTGACAGAGCGAGACTCCATCTCAAAAAAAATAAAAAATTTTAAAAAGTCAGTAATACTCAAAGCATGCCATTTTGATTTAGTATTAATATTTCAATATTCACTTCCTTTTTTTTTTCTTTTTTTGAGACAGGGTCTCACTCTGTTACCCAGACTGGAGCGCAATGAGGCCATCATAGCCCACTGCAACCTCAACTTCCTTAGCTCAAGGGATTCTTCTGCCTCAGCCTCCCAAGTAGCTGGGACTATGGGCACCTGCCATCACACCTGGCTAATTTTTAAATTTTTTTTGTAAAGACAGTGTCTTGCTATGTTCCCCAGGCTGGTCTCAAACTCCCGGCCTCAAGCAATCCTCTCACCTTGGCCTCTCAAAGTGCTGGGATTACAGACGTGCGCTGCATGATCCCCGTGAGCCACTGCACCCGGCCCTCAATATTCACTTTCAGATATTCACACCTTGTCTAGGGTGGCCTACAGCCACTGCCCATAAATGCAGAAGTATAAAGGTCTAGCCATCTCAGCCCAACTCAAGAAGACTCTGAAGGGCCATATTTGTGGCAGAGCTCCTCGGGGGTTGGCCAAGGCTGTCATTGGCCAACATCACAGCTTAGCTTCTCCCTCTGCCCTCTCCTGTTTCTGCCTCCTCTCTTCTATAGGTGCTGATCGCAAGGGCACTCCTTAATAAACATCCTGCCCATCAAACTCCATCTCAGAGCCTGCAGCACAGCCCTTACTATCTGAAAAGTCATTTGGCCTTGATGCTAAGATGCCTTCCACAGGTGTCCAGCATTTTGGCTTCCCTGGGCCACATTGGAAGAAGAAGAATTGTCTTGAGCCACACATAAAATACACTAATGCTGCTGGGTGCAGTGGCTCACGCATAATCCCAGCACTTTGGGAGGCCGAGGCAGGTGGATCACCTGAGGTCAGGAGTTCAAGACCAGCCTGGCCAACATGGAGAAACCCTGTCTCTACTAAAAAATAAATATGAAAATTAGCTGGGCATGGTGGTACATGCCTGTAGTCCCAGCTACTCAGGAGGCTGAGGTGGGAAGATTGCTGGAACCTGGGAGGCGGAGGCTAGAGTGAGCCGAGATCACCCCACTCTACTCCAGACTGGGCGACAGAGTGAGACTCTGTCTCCAAAAAAAAAAAAAAAAAGGTCCATGCATAATTATAATTTTCAAGATATCCGCCACCATAGAGAAGCAAAAATGTCCTCACATTCAAAGGGTTAGACAGTGCTCTTTTTTTTTTTTTTTTTTTTGAGATGGAGTCTTGCTCTGTCCCCAGGCTGGAGTGCAGTGGTGCAATCTCAGCTCACTGCAACCTCCCCCTCCCGCGTTCAAGTGATTCTCCTGCCTCAGCCTCCCGAGTAGCTGGGACTACAGGCGTGTGCCACCACACTCAGCTAATTTTTGTATTTTTAGTAGAGACGGGGTTTCACCATGTTGGCCAGCATGGTCTCGATCTCTTAACCACGTGATCCACCCGCCTCAGCCTCCCAAAGTTCTGGGATTACAGACACGAGCCACCGCGCCTGGCCTAGACATTGCTCTTAGACTGTAGAGATGAGGTTTCACCATGTTGGCCAGGCTGGTCTTGAACTCCTGCTCATGTGATCCACCTGCCTTGGCCTCCCAAAGTTCTGGGATTACAGGCATAAGTCACTGCACCTGGTCCTCTTCACCTTTTAATCCTCATTCTTCTCTTTGGACTGTTTCCTGCTGTAGGATACACTTACTTAAAATCAGCTGGCTGGCCACAGTGGTGCACACCTGTAGTCCCAGCTACCAGGATGGCCGAGGCAGGAGGATCTGTTGAGCCGAGGAGTTCAAGGCTGTAGTGCGCTGTGGTCACACCTGTGAATACCCACTGCACTCCAGCATGGGCAACATAGCGAGACCCTGTCTCCAAAAAATAAATAAATTAGCTGATCACTCCTTGGAGCATGTAGTGAATTAGGAATTCACCAATGGAAGAAACACGTGTGAGTATACGATGGCGACACCTGGTGGTAGGATATGCAATAACATCGTGAACCTCCCTTAATGGTGGATTCCTGGCTTATTGTTGGAATAAAATGTAATTACATGGAAATTGTAAGAGCCATTCTAAAAGGTTAGCAACAACAAGAAAAAGGTTGTCTGCATGAACTTGCATGTGTGTGTGTCTATTCTTGTGCATTAAGGACAGACAATAATCCAAGACACAGTTAATGAAGATGAGAGCCTGATCAAGAACCTGTCGTTCACTCTGCTGCTTACTGTTATGCTGACCTTGTGCAAGACACTTCACTGCTTTGGGCTTTGGCTTTCTCATCTTTAGAGTAGGAAGATTTAAGAATCCCCACTTAGTTCAATAAATAGTATAAGTGAAAACTGTTTTGTGAATTGCGTGAATATGTTATACTACGTTAATTATTATACTATTAGCTATTATTATAATAAAGATCATCGTTGGCAGGACACAGTGGCTCATCCCTGTAATACCAGCACTTTGGGAGGCCAAGGCAGCCGGATCAGTTGAGGTCAAGAGTTCGAGACCAGCCTGGCCAACATGATGAAACCCTGTCTCTACTAAAAATACAAAAATTAGCCAGGCATGGTGGTGCGAGCCTGTAATCCCAGCTACTCGGAGGCTGAGGCAGGAGAATCATTTGAACCCAGGAGGCCGAGGTTGCAGTGAGCCGAGATCGCGCCACTGCACTCCAGCCTGGATGACAGAGCAAGACTCCATCTCAAAAAAAAAAAAAAAAGAAAACTGTTACAAAGTTAGCTCTCTGCTACAAATTTCCTGTCAAGGAATGTTAATATTGCTTGAAGATGAGAGCGCATTAGTCTGGACTTTGAACCTTGTAATAGTCCCTTTTACTCAGGGATAACTGCTTAAAACTGCAACGTGTCCAATCTATGAGCGTCAAAACAGCAACCGGGTGCAGGGTTCTCAGCCAGGGGCAATTTTGTCCCCAGGGGACATTTAGAAATGTCTGGAGATATTTTTGGTTGTCACGACTAGGGGGAAGAGTGCTACTGGCATCTAGTGAGTAGAGTCCAGGGACGCTGCTACACATCCTACAAGGCACAGACAGCACCCCCACCACAAAGAATTATCCGGCCCCACATGCCAAAAGTGCTGAGGTTGAGAAACTGGTCTAGCGTAACAGAAGGGAGAAAGTAGACCTTTTTCCCTACTGTCCTAACCACCATTAACAGCAACCACAAAGATGGGATGGTGGGTCATCAATGTGAAATTCTCCAACATATATGTGCAAAAGAGCTCAAGAAATGTATTAAGTAGCATCATACAATGCCATTGTTATCTACTATGTGTAAACCGTCTCAACATGGGCACAACTGGTCTTGTTTTTCCCTCCTCTTTTTACAAAGAAAATGAACCTGACCTGAATAGAACTTTTGCTCTATTCAGACATCAAAATAAAAACTAGCGGTAACTATTAAATGTGTAGTTACTTGTGGAATTAAGACTAAGAGTTAAAAGGGAGTGAGTATACTTTGTAATGACCACATGCTCTGATAGTGTATAGTAGTGCCATTTTTTCACTTTTCATTTAATATTTTTCAGACAAGGTCTCACTTTGTCACCAAGGCTGGAGTGCAGTGGCACAATCACAGTTCACTGTAGCCTCAACCTTCCAGGCTCAAACAATCCTCCCACCTCAGCCTCCCAAGTAGCTGGGACTACAAGTGCATGCCACCATGCCCGGCAATTTTTTTTTTAAGATGGAATGCCATTATGTTATCCAGCTGGTCTCAAATTCCTGCACTCAAGCAGTCCACCCACCTCAGCCTCCCAAAGTCCTGGGATTACATGTGTAAGCCACTGCACCCAGCTGAGTACTGCCATTTTTAAAAATGGGACAAGAACATTTACAAATACATTTAAAGGCTGGGTGTGGTGGCTCACACCTGTAATCCCAGCACTTTGGGAGGCCGAGGTGGGTGGATCACCTTGAAGTCAGGAGTTTGAGATCAGCCTAGCCAGCATGGTGAAACCATGTCTCTACTAAAAATCCAAAAATTAACCGGTGTGGTGGTGCATGCCTGTAATCCCAGCTACTCGGGAGGCTGAGGTGGGAGGATCGCTTGAACCCAGGAGACAGAGGTTGCGGTGAGCCGAGATGGCACCACTGCACTCCAGCCTGGGCGACAGAGCGAGACCCCCTCTCAAAAAAAACAAAAAACAAAAAAACAAGCACACACATTTAAAAATGTGTGAGCAAGCACACACATTTAAAAATGTGTGAGCAAGCACACAGAAAAAAAGCTTTTTAAAAAACCTTTTTAGTAATTATATTAGTGATGGTAATATTAGTATTGCAGCTCCGACACTGTTATGAGTAATGCGGACACATCAAATGCGCAAGATGAGGTATTCTGATTCCATTCTAGATTTTGGTTTTGAGAATCATATTTTCAACGTGGAAGAATGTGTATACAGGATTCTCAAGATGTAGAGGTTAGGTAAAATTCCTTGCTGTTCTGAATCTGAATGTAAAGTATCAGTGTGAATGCATGAGGTATTTTCTATTCTATTCTCTTCATGTGTCTATATATGCAAAATCTTCACTGAGAAGGCCCAAAAGCAAAGCAACGACCAGCACAGTAGCAGCCAGCATCTTTATGCCCAGAGTACCGTCTTCAAATACCATTTCCCACTAAAAGAAACAAATGCTTCATGAAGAAATGACTGATTCCCAGTTTGGGGCAGAAAATATACATTTTGACCTTTGTCATATCATCTAGTCACATCAGATAGCAACAAAACTACCGAAGACTACTAGGGCCATGTAAGAAGGATTCAGGAGCCAGTTGGAAAAGGCATCCACTTACTGAAGATGACACAATTTATGCTTCAATAATTCCAAGGGACTGAAAATGATCAAATATGTTTAAATCCCTAAGTTCTTAATTATATTCAAACATTTTTAATCATCACATTTGGAGGATGCTAGGGAACCAATTCTCTTCCCGGGAGAGGAGGGTGGGGGACCCATTCCTTATCTTAGAAAACTTACGAGAGAAAAGAATCTAGTACTTTTCCCAACTTTCCTACATGGATTGTACCACTGGGTAACCTAATGGTAGATGAGAGGAGGCATCTCTTTATGAAAGTATTGCAACTAATAGACCGGCGGGCGCGTTGGCTCAAGCTTGTAATCCCAGCACTTTGGGAGGCTGAGGTGGGTGGATCACGAGGTCAGGAGATCGAAACCATCCTAGCCAACATGGTGAAACCCCGTCTCTACTAAAAATACAAAAATTAGCCAGGTTTGGTGGCACACACCTGTAGTCCCAGGTACTCGGGAGGCTGAGGCAGGAGAATCGCTTGAACCCAGGAGTTGGAGGTGCAGTGAGCTGAGATCATGCCACTGCAATCCAGCCTAGCAACAGAGCGAGACTCCATCTCAAAAAAAAAAAAAAAAAAAAAGGTATTGCAACTAACAAATGAAAAAAAAAGCGGTAGAATTAGAGTATTACAATTTTGTAATTGTCAGTGGATTAATGGCTTTAGGCATCAGGCATCCATGACTATTAACATAGCAACAGAGTTGACCTGCGTTTTGTGCTTCCTGATTCAAGATCCAGTAGTGACTTAGTCTTGCCATAGAGTCTGAACCTAAGTCTCATCATACCTTGGGATCCAGCTGCTACATCGTAGGAAATCCAGAACACATTGAATTCCACCGAGAATACTTCATCAGCAACATCCAGATTGTGGGAAATTTCACAGGTCAAAGGATTCAGGTTTTTCAACAGATAAATTGTCAGAATAAGAAAGAGAGGGGAAACTTGTAGCTTCGGAGACTTAAAATCATAACTAATTTTCAAAAAATAGAGATGGGGTCTTGTTATGGTGCTCAGGCTGGTCTCCCACCTCTGCCTCAGCCTCCCAAAGTGTTGAGATTACAGGCATGAGCCACCACGCCCAGCCACGACTTTTTTAACTGGACAACCATAGAGTCCCAGGTGTTCACTATAAAGAAACACGACCAAGTGATTGTCTTCGTGGTTTCTTGGCGGCGGTGGTGGTTGGGACGTGATAGGGGTGGGGCCCGTGGATGGTCTTCTCAGTGGCTTGCAAAGTTCTATTCCTTGACCTGGATGGTAGTTACAAGGGTGTTTGCCTTCATTACGCTATACATTCATTTTTGTATGATTTTCTGTATTTATGTTTTATTTTCCAAAAAAAAAAAGCTTTAAAAGAGTATAAAGAAAGTAGATGGCAGAAATTTGTGGAATCTTCCCCCAGCAACATAAAAACGCGGTGGGTTTTTGTAACTTGGTTTTTACACTTTACAATTAATATTGTAATGAGAAATACTCGTGTGGACCACTAGGGCGCACAATTTGTTGCCCGCAGCATCTGCGGCACTGGCACTGATGAAAGGGGGATGCTAAATGCTTCAGTAACGCCACCTGAGTCTCGGGATGAAGCAACATTATTCATCGCCCTTTGATCATGAGCTACATATGTGAGTGCCAATGCTGGCGAATCGTATTTGGAAAGTCGGGTCCAACATGTGATGTGTACATACAGGGTATACACTGAAAATACCGTAGTTTTATCCTCTTTTAAGATAAGCTTCAATTTATTTGAGTTATTAGAACAAAGCCTCATAAACCACGGTAAAAAGAACCTTAAAACTTTTTTTTTTATTTTTGAGGAAGTCTTGCTCTGTTGCCCAGGCTGGAGTGCAATGGCACAATCTTGGCTCACTGCAAGCTCCATCTCCTGGGTTCAAGCGATTCTCCTGCCTCAGCCTCCTGAGTAGCTGGGATTACAGGTGCCCGCCACCACGTCCAGCTGATTTTTGTATTTTTAGTAGAGACAGGGGTTTCACCATGTTGGTCAGGCTGGTCTCGAACCCCTGACTTCAAGTGATCTGCCTGCCTTGGCCTCCCAAAGTGCTAGGATTACAGGCATGAGCCACAGTGCTCAGCCCAAAAACCTCAAGACTTAGTGTGTGGAGAATGGAGGTGAAAAGTTTTTGTGGTGGTCTCCTAATGAGACGATAGCCCCCTGGCGGAGGGAGAGAAACACGTGAGAGCTATTTGGAGCCTCCCTGAAAGGTGTCACTGGGCTATGGATGGACTGAGAACCACACAGCGACGGGCCAGCCTTCGAGGGCCAACACAGAGTGAGAGACGGCCTCTGCAGGGCCCAGGCTGGGGAGGGGTGGTGAGGCCAGTCACGACTAGTAATCTAAGAGCCGTCTTTCCTTACCTGTGGTGTGGAAAGGGCTGCGGGTCACAGAATCTTAGTGATACGAGCTTAGGCGAGGCTCAACGGCCCTACCTCTCAGGTGAGAAAGCAGCTCTCCTGTAATCGTTATCTTTTCTCAAAGGGGAAGAACAACTTCTTCCTGTTAATAAATCACAGACCTCAGATGCTTTGTATTGCTGAGGAAACAAAACGTTTATGAATTGTTCACAGGCTGAGAAAATAAGATGCTTTGAGTTTTTGGTTTTTTCTACAAGGCTGCAATAAATAACACAGCAGTAAATCCTAACCTTTAGCTCTGATTGGTATTATTTCATTTTGGTGCCTTTCCAGCCGGCCCAAAAGTGTGATGCTGTGATACACACAGTATGTGTGTATGTGTGTATACACATGACTATTTTGTGAGATTTCGCGTACTAGTTCATTAGTGGCGCCCTGGAATCACAGATCCTTCCTGCTGCGGTGATAGCATGTGGGTGGTGCCGAGGTGGACTGCTGCTTGATGGTGAAGAAAGAAAAGAGGACAGGAGGACCCGCCAGGACCACATGTGGAGAGCTGCAGCGAAAGAATCCTCGCTCGGTGGACACCATGGCTTTTTGCTAAGCCCTGGTTCTCTCTATGGACCCCATGCCTCATCTCCAGAGCCAAAACCCAGCCTTTCTCATTCAAGGACACTCCCCAGAGCTTTGGGAACACATTTCATTCTGGCTCTGTTAAGTACCCCCATAGGGTCCCGAAAGTCCAGGCTGCTTCTTGCCCCTGCCGCCTCAGGTCCCAGAGGCCCACTGCTGCGTCCAGGACGCCTCCTCCACCACGTCCTCTCCCAAAGCTTATGCAGCAGTTAAGCAAAGGGGCCCTGGCCTCTACAGCACCGAGGCAGCCTCCTAGTTCAGCCACTCTCATGTGAGTGTGGACAAATTATTTAACCTCCCTAAGCCTCCCTTCTCTCTTCCATTAAATATGGATGATAAGGATAATAAATATTAACCTCATAAGGTTGTTGTGAGAGTTAAATGAGAAAAGATATATAAAACTTAGGCCGGGTGTGGTGGCTCACGCTTGTAATCCCAGCCCTTGGGGAGTCTGAGGCGGGCAGATCACTGAGGTCGGGAGTTCGAGACCAGCCCAACCATGGTGAAACCCCGTCTCTACTAAAAATACAAAATTAGCCAGGAGTGGTGGCTCATGCCTGTAATCCCAGCTACTAGAGGGGCTGAGGCAAGAGAATCTTTTGAACCTGGGAGGGGGAGGTTGCAGTGAGCCGAGATTGCATTATTGCACTGCAGCCTGGACAACAAGAGCGAAACTCCATCTCAAAAAAAAAAAAAAAAAGATATATAAAACTTAGTGTCATTCCTGGCCTGTAAATGGTAAGTAAAATGTAGCTCTCACCTTTACTCCAGGTTTCAGAAATGCTGTTCCTCTCAACAGAGAGGTGGTGGATTCTCCACAAATGCTGAGGAATGAATGGATGGATGAGAGAATGCAGTGACCACTTCCCATGGATGGATGAGAGAATGCAGTGACCACTTCCCAATGATGAAGATTATGGCAAAAATTGATTTTAAACTCCTACAAGATAGAATCCATGATTTAATTCTTTTTATTTTTTTCTTTAAGACAGAGTCTCACTCATTGCCCAGGCTGGAGTGCAGTGGCGTGGTTACAACTCACGGCACCCTCAACCTCCCCGGGCTCAGGTGATCTTCCCACATCAGCCTCCTGAGTAGCTGGGACTACAGGTGCATGCCATCACACTTAGCTAATTTTTCTATTTTTTTTTTAAGAGATGGCGTTTTGCCATGTTGCCCAGGCTGGTCTCCAACTCTTGGGCTCAAGCAATCCTCCTGCCTTGGCCTCCCAAAGTGTACAGTCATGTGTCACTTAAGAATGGAGATACATTCTGGAAAATGCGTCATTCAGCGATTTCGTAGTTGTGTGAACATCACAGAGTGTACTTACACACACCTAGATGGTACAGCCTCCTACTACACACCTAGTCTGTATAGTGTAGCCTATTGCTCCTAGGCTACAAACCCGTACAGCATGTTACTTTACCGAATACTGTAGGCAATCGTAACACAATGGTAAGTATCTGTGTATCTAAATATATCTGAACATAGAGAAGGTACAGTAAAAATACAGTATTATAATCTTATGGGATTCTAAGATTATAATCTTATAATAATATAATCTTGTATATTTGGTCCATCCTTGACAGGAACATTGCTATGTGGCATATGACTGTATAGCTCTTCGAACCAAAATAAAGCAAAAAGATGACTCCCAAAAAATAGATTATGAGGCCGCACGTGGTGGCTCACGCCTGTAATCCCAACACTTTGGGAGGCCAAGGTGGGCAGATCACTTGAGGTCAGGAGTTCAAGACCAACCTGGCCAACACAGCGAAACCCCATCTCTACCAAAAATACAAAAATTAGCCGGGCATAGTTGGTGCTCGCCTGTAATCCCAGTGACTCGGGAGGCTGAGGCAGGAGAACTGCTTGAACCCAGGAGGTGGAGGTTGCAGTGAGACAAGATCGTGCCGCTGCACTCCAGCCTGGGCAACAGGGCGAGACTCCATCTCCAAACAAAACAAAACAAAATTATGAAGAGACTACGCTTAGATTAGGGACTGGGATTTAACACAGGTTCAATCTTCCTAGAGTACATCTTTAATAAAGTATACACAGGGAACAGTGCCCAAATCATAAGTGTACAGCTAGATGACCTTTTACAAAGTGAGCACGCATCTGCGATCAACACCCACAGAAAGAACATTCCCGGCGCCCAGCACTGTGGCCCTCCCGTTCACTGACCCCGCCTTCCAACTTCTGGGGCATAGATTTTTGTTTTTGAATTTCGGACTTGTTTTTGTTTTTGTTTTTTCAGGTTTTCTTTGTTTTGTTTTGTTTTGTTTTCCTGAGACAGAGTCTCATTCTGTCACCCAGGCTGGAGTGCAATGGTGTAATCTTGGCTCACTGCAACCTCTGCCTCCCAGATTCAAGCGATTCTCCTGCCTCCTGGGCAGAGGTAGAAAAAAAGTTTCAAAAATCATGAATTCATATTAATATTCAAATTAGGACATTTACAATCTAGGCACTAAGGATAGGCATTGCTAGTAGGTGTCATTGCTTTTTTTTTTTTTCTTAAGATGAAGTCTCACTCTGTCGCCCAGGCTGGAGTGCAATGGCGCAATCTCGGCTCACTGCAACCTCCTGGCCTCCCAGGATCAAGCGATTCTCCTGCCTCAGCCTCCCAAGTAGCTGGGATGACAGGCGCCCGCCACCATGCCCGGCTAATTTTTGTGTTTTTAGTAGAGTTGGGGTTTCACCATGTTAGCCAGGCTGGTCTCCAACTCCTAACCTCAAGGGATCCGCCTGCCACAACCTCCCAAAGTGCTGGGATTACAGGCGTAAGCCACCTCGCCCGGCCTGTTTTTTAACTTTGGATAAATGGTAACCTACAGTGTACACATTTTTCTGTCTCCTTTCTTTTCATTCAACCTTCTATTTCTGAGATTCACCCAAGTTGTCCCATTAAGTTCTAGACTTAAATATTATATGTGTTGTAGGGTTATTATGGACAAATAACACAGCAGAATGGAAAAGAACATGAAAGTGAGACCCCTGCAACCCATTAATGTGTGTTTCATTTAATGACGGTAACTCTACCGAAAAAGAACAAGAAGCGATGACACCTGGCCGGGCGCGGTGGCTCACACCTGTAATCTCAGCACTTTGGGAGGTTAAGGCGAGCAGATCACTTGAGGTCAGGAGTTCAAGACCAGCCTGGCCAACATGGTGAAACTCCATCTCTACCAAAAAATACGAAAATTAGCCGGGAGTGGTGGAGGGCAGCTGTAATCCCAGCTACTCGGGAGGCAGAGGCAAGAGAATCTCTTGAACCCGGGAGGCCAGGAGTTTGCAGTGAGCTGAGATTGCGCCACAGCACTCCAGCCTGGGTGACAGAGTGAGACTCCATCTCGAGAAAAAAAAAAAAGCAATGACACCTACTAGCAATGACTATTCTTAGTGCCTAGATTGTAAATATCCTAATTTGAATATAAATATGAATTCATGATTTTTGAAACTTTTTTCTACCTCTGCCCACTGAAAGAGCCTAGACGAAATGGCTCTCAGTAGCAGTGAGCTCTCCTGGGGCCTGGTTCTTGGGTTCCAAATACTATATCCACTAGGAGAGGCCGGGTGTGGTGGCTCACGCCTGTAATCCCAGCACTGCAGGAGGCTGAGGTGGG
The DNA here is from genome assembly GCF_000001405.40 of Homo sapiens. Taxonomy (NCBI): domain Eukaryota; kingdom Metazoa; phylum Chordata; class Mammalia; order Primates; family Hominidae; genus Homo; species Homo sapiens. The sequence continues at coordinate 244,806,499 of NC_000001.11, forward strand.
CAGATCACGAAGTCAGGAGTTTGAGACCAACCTGGCCAACATGGTGAAACCCCGTCTCTACTAAAGATACAAAAAATTGGCGAGGCATGGTGGTGCAGGCCTGTAATCCCAGCTACTTGGGAGACTGAGGCAGGAGAATCACTTGAATGCGGGAGGCGGAGGTTGCAGTGAGCCGAGATCACACTCCAGCCTGGGTGACCGGGTGAGACTCCATCTCAAAAAAAAAAAAAAAAGGAAAAAAGAAAAGAAAATGTACAAGATGTTCCAGGGATAGCCTTTGTGTCAGAAAGTAAGAGAGCTTGGGTCCATAAGGAGCCACTGGGGGGAAACAACAAGTTTTTAAAATTTAAATAAATAGAAAAAAAAAGGAAGGAAGGAAACTATTAAAGACCTCTTGAATCTTATCAAAGAAGGAAGGAAACTATTAAAGACCTCTTGAGTCTTATCAAAGATACAGGAACTAATTGGATGAAGTAAAAAATGGAATAATTTCAGCATCAAAAAGAATAATCACTATAATGGATGGAAAACAACAAAATTATAAAATTTATATAAAATATACATAAAAATTTATATTAAATTTATATACAATGTAATGATATATCATTATATCAAGTCCTCTCCACCCCCATGAAAAATCCCTCATTGTTGTCTTTGGAGGTTGCTGAGGGACCAACACATTATGCTGAAAATTGGCAAATGAAAGGAGTGAGTCAAGCATTTATCCTGTGTCTTCCTATATACTCTGCATCTTTCTTTGTTTTCTTTTCTTTTCTTTCTAAGTTCTTTTCTTTCTTTCTTCTTTCTTTTTCTTTCTTTCTTCTTTTTCTTTCTCTCCCTTGCTTGCTCCCCTTCCTTCCTTCCTCCCTTCCTTCCTTCTTTCTCTCTTTTTCTTTCTTTCCTCTTTTTAGAGAGATGGGGTCTTATTATGTTGCCCAGGCTGGTCTCAAGCTCCTGGCTTCAAGTGATTCTCCCACCTCAGCCTCCAAAACACTGGGATTACAGGCATGAGCCACATGCCCAGGAGTCTGTGTTTCAAAGTAACCAAAGAGTTAATGAAGGAAAGGTCTTTATTTTTATTTACTTATTTTTTTTGAGACGGAGTCTCACTTTGTTGCCCAGGCTGGAGTGCAATGGCGCGATCTTGGCTCACTGGAACCTCTGCCTCCCGGGTTCACGCGATTCTCCTGCCTCAGCTTCCCGAGTAGCTGGGATTACAGGCATGCACCGCCATGCCCAGCTAATTTTGTATTTTTAGTACAGACGAGATTTCTCCATGTTGGTCAGGCTGATCTTGAACTCCTGACCTCAGGTGATCTACCCGCCTCAGCCTCCCAAAGTGCTGGGGTTACAGGCATGAGCCACCATGCCCAGCCAGGAAAGTTCTTTTTAAATGAAAATCCAGTTAGTAAATCCAGAAGTAATGGTAGCAACTAATGAAATAATGTATTTAGGCAACAATCATCAACAGCTACTAAAACATCAGGCAAAAGGTTATAGAGAAACTGTAATGGGGGATCAGACTGACACCACCTCAACCCACTGACCAGTTTTTGAGAGTGAGGAACAGGAAGTAGATGGCACCTCTATGACATGTGCTCACCAACAAAATTAGATCTGAATGGAATCAAGCTTCTAGCGCTGCCTACCAGTTTATGGGAAATATGGACAATAGAGGAAAAACACAATGACACAACAGAAATCAGTCAGCTGAATCCGACGTAGGGAAATTCTACAGGCATGACCTGGTTTCTTCAAAAATAAATGACATGGGGCAAGGCATGGTGGCTCACGCCTGTAATCTCAGCACTTTGGGAGGCGAGGTGGGCGAATCACCTGAGGTCAGGAGTTCGAGACCAGTCTAGCCAACATGGTGAAACCCCATCTCTACTAAAAATACAAAAATTAGCCAGGCGTGATGGGCACCTGTAATTCCAGCTACTCAGGAGGCTGAGGCAGGAGAATCACTTGAACCCGGGAGATGGAGGTTGCAGTGAGCCGAGATTGTGCCACTGCTCTCCAGCCTGGACAACAGAGCAAGACTCTGTCTCAAAAATAAATAAATAAATAAATGACATTGGGGAATGGCAGGTAAGAGGAGTGATTAAAATAGGCTTAAAAGGCTGGGTGCAGTGGCTCGCACCTGTAATCCCAGCACTTTGGGAGGCTGAGGTGGGTGGATCACCTGAGGTCAGGAGTTGGAGACCAGCCTGGCCAACATGGTAAAACCCCATCTCTACTAAAAATACAAAAATCAGCCGGGTATGGTAGCACATGCCTATAATCCCAGCTACTCAGGAGGCTGAGGAAGGAGAATCACTTGAACCCAGGAGGCAGAGGTTGCAGTGAGCCGAGATCGTGCCACTGCACTCCAACCTGGGCAACAGAGACTTCATCTCAAATTAAAATAAAATAAAATAGGCTTAAAAGAGGCTGCAACCAAAGCCACTTTGTGGCACTTATCTGGGTCCTAATTTGAATGAAGCAATTATAAAAAGACATTTTAGAGATGTACAGGGAAATGTGAACATATTGGTAATTTTATTAGATATAATAATAACATCGAAGTTATTTCTCTCTCTCTCTCTTTTTTTTTTTGAGACAGAGCCTTGCTCTTGTTGCCCAGGCTGGAGTGCAATGGCATGATCTCTGCTCACTGCAACCTCTGCCTGCTGGGTTCAAGCGATTCTCCTGCCTCAGCCTCCTGAGTAGCTGGGATTACAGGTGCACACCACCACGCCCGGCTAATTTTTTTTTTTTTTTTTTTTTTTGAGACGGAGTCTCGGTCTGTCGCCCCAGCTGGAGTGCAGTGGCGCGATCTCGGCTCACTGCAAGCTCCTCCTCCCAGGTTCACACCATTCTCCTGCCTCAGCCTCCCGAGTAGCTAGGACTACAGGCGCCAGCTACCACGCCTGTCTAATTTTCTGTATTTTTAGTAAAGACGGGGTTTCACCTTGTTAGCCAGGATGGTCTCGATCTCCTGACCTCATGATCCGGCTGCCTCGGCCTCCCAAAGTGCTGGGATTACAGACGTGAGCCACCGCACCCGGCCTCATTTTTGTATTTTTAGTAGAGACGGGGTTTCACCATGTTGGTCAGGCTGGTCTCGAACTCCTGACCTCATCCACCCGCCTTGGCCTCCCAAAGTGCTGGGATTACAGGCGTCAGCCACCACGCCTGGCCTCTCTCTCTCTTTTTAAATTATTTTTTTGTAGAGACAGGATCTCATCTCTCTATGTTGGCCAGGCTGGTCTCAAACTCGTGGCCTCAGGCAACCCTCCCTTCTCAGCCTCGCAAAGCGCTGGGATTTGGGATTACAGGCAGGAGCAACAGTGCCCAGACTTAAGTTATTGTTTTTCATGCCCATATATCTCAGAGATAGCTACTAAACTATTTATGGTAAAGTAATACAATGTATATTATTTGCTTTAAAATATTCTAGCAAAAAAAAGAGTGGAGGGGAACAGATGAAATAAGGTGAGCCAAACGTTGGGTGTTGAGGCTGGATCAAGAATGTTTGAGCACTCACTATGTTATTTCCTTTATCAGGGGCATTTTTGAAATTTTCCAAAATAAAAAAAAAATTAAATTTTATCCCACATTTAAATGTATGCAACTGGCGTAAACTACATTAAAATCTCAGGAATTTTGACGAACGGAAATGAGGCCAGAGTAGGAGGAACACAGCAGAGAGGGAGGTTTGGTGGCAAAGACGATGGATGCGCTGAGTTTGAAAGATGTCAAGTCGAAGCGCCTGTGAGAGGCGCGGGGAGAGTCGCCGGGCAGGGAGTTTGGCAGCAGCGTCTGGCGTTCAGGAAAGGGGATGAGGCCACAGGCTGACGCCGGAAGCCACGGGCCTGTGGATGGCGGCTGCAGCTTTGGGAAGGGTGGGCAGTGTGAAAAGGAAGGTCAGGGCCCTGGCAAAGCCTCGAGGAGGAAAAGCTGACAAAGAAAAGCTCAACTAAGGGCCGGGCGTGGAGCCTCACGACTGTAATCCACGCCCTTTGGGAGGCCGAGGCGGGTGGATCACCTAAGGTCCAGAGTTTGAGACCAGCCTGCCCAAAATGGTGAAACCCTGTTGCTCTACTAAAAATACAAAAATTAGCCGGGTGTGGTGGCGGACGCCTGTAATCCCAGCTACTCGGGAGACTGAGGCAGGAGAATCGCTTGAACCCAGGAGGCGGAGGTTGCAGTGAACCGAGATGGCACCACAGCCCTCCTGCCTGGACGACAGAGCGAGACGTTGTCTCAAAAAATTTTTTTTAAAAAGTCAGCTACAGCCTGGAGAGCAACCAAGAAGAGTAAGAAAAAATGGTGTCATCAAAGTTTAGGGACGTGAGTGTTTCAAGAAAGAAATAAACCCAAATTGTCAGATAGGGTTGGTCAAAATAAAGACTTGAAATGGGCCTTGGAGAATTCTTCTGTTTTTGAAACACATACTGAAATATTTTGGGATAAATGATATGCTATCTGGAGTTTTCATTAAACTTATCCAGGGTGAGGTGAGAGGGAGCAGGTGGAGATGGTGGCAACAAGATTGGCTGTGAGTTGTGACTGTGGACACCGGGCATGGAACACGTGGGAATTCACTGCACTGTTCCTTCCACCTATAGGTATGTTTGAAATTTCCCATAATGAAGTTCTTTTTTTATGTTTCTATAACAATCAGTAGCCTGTGGATTTCTCATCACGGAAACCACCAGTAACCTCTGCGTGGGTAGTTTGGGTGGCCTATGGAGGCAGAGGCCAGGCTGAACGGATGAAGGAGTAAGTAGAGGTCAGGTTCTCAAGACAGTGAGGAAGGCAACAGACAACTTGTTCAAGAAATTTAACTCTGGAGGGGAGAAGGGGCAAGGAAGTAGACAGGGGAGGATGTGAGGTTGAAAGATGGTATTTTATTTTTCACACTGGAGAGACTAGAACTTGGTTATAGCCTGATAAGGCGAGCCAGCAGACAGGAAAGTTTTTGAAAAAGGAGGGAGCCCGAGAAAGTAGGAAGCGATGGGAGGGAGGTTCCAGAAGAAGAAACTGGCCTTAAATTTGATAACAGCTCTTCCTCTGGTACAGAAGAAAGTGGTCAAGGAGGCCGAGGTGGAAGGATAGGTTGAGACCAGGAGTTTGAGACCAGCCTGCACCATAGCAAGACACTGTCTCTACACAAGCAAAATACAAACTGGTTTTGCGTGATGTAGTTCCAGCTACTTGGGAGGCTGAGGTGGGAGGATTCCTTGAGCCCAGGAGTTTGAGGCTGCAGTGAGCTATGATTGCACCACTGCACTCCAGCCTGGGTGAAAGAGGGAGACCCTGTCTCAAAAAAAAAAGAAAGAAAGAAAGTGAGTGAGGGCACAGGTAGTCAAAGGTGAGTGATGGGGCATACTCCTGGCAGATGGCTTTTCTTTTCCCTCTTGACTGGATGGTGAGGACATCCACTAAGAGTGGAAGTGAGGCCGGCCATGGTGGCTCATGCCTGTAATCCCAACACTTTGGGAGGCCAAGGCAGATGAATCACTTGAGGTCAGGAGTTCGAGACCAGCCTAGCCAGCATAGTGAAACCTCATCTCTACTAAAAATACAAAAATTAGCTGGGTGTGGTGGCACACGCCTGTAATCCCAGCTACTTGGGAGGCTGAGGCATGAGAATCGCTTAGACCCAGGAGGTGGAGGTTGCAGCGAACCGAGATCACACCACTGCACTCCAGCCTGGGTGACGGAGGGAGACTCCATCTCAAAAAAAAAAAATGGAGTAGAGGCAAAGAGGCCTGAGGCCAGAAACAGTGGAGCCAGGTGTGGTGGCACAGGCCTGTAGTCCCAGTGACTCAGGAGGCCAACGTGAGAGGATCACTTGAGCCCAGGAGTTTGCAACCAGCCTGAGCAACATGATGAGACTGTCTCTACAAATTTTTTTTTTTTTTTTATGGAGTCTTGCTCTGTCGCCCAGGCTGGAGTGTAATGGCATGATCTTGGCTCACTGCAACCTCCGCCTCCCAGGTTCAAGAGATTTTCCTGCCTCAGCTTCCCGAGTAGCTGAGATTACAGGCACCTGCCACCACGCCCAGCCAATTTTTGTATTTTTAGTAGAGATGGGGTTTCACCATGTGGACCAGGCTGGTCTCAAACTCCCAACCTCATGATCCACCCACCGCGGCCTCCCAAAATGCTGGGATTACAGGCGTGAGCCACCACGCCTGGCCAAGAAATTTTTTTAAACTACCCACGTGTGGTGGTGCATACCTGTGGTCCCAGCCAGTCAGAAAGCTGAGGTGAGAGGATTGCTTGAGCCCAGGAATTCAAGGTTTCAGTGAGCTATGATCGGGTTACTGCACACTCCAGCCTAGGCAACAGAACAAGACCTTGTCAAAAAAACAAAAAACAAAAAACAAACAAACAAAAAAAAACAGCCCAGGCATGGTGGCTCACGCCTGTAATCCCAACACTTCGGGAGGCTGAGATGGGAGGCTCACTTGAGGCCAGGTATGGTGGCACACACCTGTAATTCCAGCTACTCGGGAAGCTGAGGCAGGAGAATCGCTTGAACCCAGGAGGTGGAGGCTGCAGTGAGCCAAGATCGCACCATTGCACTCCATCCTGAGTGATAGAGCAAGACTCTGACTCAAAAAGAAAAATTTAAAAATTAAGAAAAAAAAAGGAGAATATTTGAAAATGAGAGAGTTCACTAGAAAACACTGTGAAGCAGTGTCGAGGATCCAAATGACATGGGTGGACATGAAAACGACATGCCCCGTTTTGTGAAATTTTCCAGCAATACTCAGCAGCCTGGTTCTGAGCTCACGAGAAGGTCCAGGCTCATTCCACTGATGGAAGGTTACCAAGGATGTGGATAGGACAATTGAACAAGAGAGTCAAGAACTGTAGTTCTTCAATGTTGCCGAACAAATTACATCCAAATTTAGCAGCTTAAAACAACAAGCATTTATCATCGCACACAGTCTCTGAGGGTTGGGAATCCTGGAGCAGCTAAGCTGGACAGCTCCTGCTCAAGGTCTGTCACAGGGATAGGGTCCTCTTCAGGCTTGCCGGGGTGGAGGACCAGCTCCCAAGCTCACTGGCATGGTTGTCAGCAGGCTCAGGTTTATTGCTGATTACTGGCAGGAGGCCTTGCCACTGGGCTCTCCATAGGACTGCTTACAACATGGTACCGAGCTTCTCCCAGAGTGAAAATCTAACGGAGAAAAAGAGAGAGCGCCAGCCTAAGATGGTGGCATTTCATAGCACAACACATCATCTCAAAACTTTTACTTGCCTTTGCCCATCGCCCATCAGCTTCCTGAAAGGGGGGACTGAGTGTGTCTGTCTTGTCCACTGCTGTACCCTTAGAGGAGTGCTAGGCACATAGCAGACGATCGAGTTTTTTTTTCTTTATCTCGGCTCACTGCAACCTCTACGTCCTGGGTTCAAGTGATTCTCCTGCCTCAGCCTCATAAGTAGCTGGGAATACAGGTGCATGCCACCACGCCCAGCTAATTTTTGTATTTTTAGTAGAGACGGGGTTTCACCATGTTGGCCAGGCTGGTCTCAAACTCCTGACCTTGTGATCCACCTACCTCGGCCTCCCAAAGTGTTGGGATTATAGGCGTGAGCCACTGGGACTTGTTGTTGCTGTTTTTTTTTTTTGTTGTTGTTGTTGTTTTTGAGACAGGGTCTCACTCTGTTGCCCAGGCTGGAGTGCAGAGGCATGATCATAGCTCACTGCTGCCTCAAACTCCTGGGCTCAAGCGATCCTCCCACCTCAGCCTCCTGAGTAGCTGGGATTACAGGTGTGAACCCTGAAAATCTGAGACAGGTTCCAGTAAACTTAGAAAGTTTATTTTGCCAAGGTTGAGGATGCACACCCGTGACACAGCCTCTTAAACTGAACCTTGGGAGTTCCTGACACCGTGTGGCCAAGGTGGTAGGGGGAGAGTTTGGTTTTCTACATTTTAGGAGACATGAGACCTCAATCAATATGTGTAAGATGAACATCGGTTCAGTCTGGAAAGGCTGGACAAAGCGGGACAACTCCAAGCAAGGAGGGGCTTCAAGTCACAGTAGATGGGAGACAAACAGTTGCATTCTTCTGAGTTTCTGATGAGCCTCTCCAAAGGAGGCAATCAGATATGCATCTATCTCAGTGAGCAGAGGGGTGACTTTGAATAGAATAGGGGGCAGGTTGCCCTGCTTGACTTTTCCCTTTAGCTTAGTCATTTTGGGACCACGAGATGTATTTTCCCTTCACACAGGCATGAGCCATTGTGCCCAGCTCTAAAATACATCTTTAAGTAAATGAATGAAATGAGTGAGTGAAACCCACCGGAGAAAACTGTAGCTACACTCAGTGAAAAACTTTCTTTTTGAGGGAGGGGCAGATCTTCCATGGGCTGGATTATAAATTTTTATAGGTGACCGGGTGCAGTGGCTCACATCTGTAATCCTGGCAGTTTGTGAGGCCGACACAGGCATTTCACTTGAGGCCAGGAGTTTGAGACCAGCCTGGACAACATGGGGAAACCCTGTCTCTACTAAAAATACAAAAATTAGCCAGGCGTGGTGGCGCGCCTGTGGTCCCAGCTACCCAGGAGGCGGAGGTGGTGTCAGAGGTGTTTGAACCAGAGCAACTGCATCTTGAATAGGGGCTGCGTAAAATGAGGCTGAGACCTACTGGGCTGCATCCCCAGCCTGTTAGGCATTCTAAGTCACAGGATGAGATAGGAGGTTGGCAAAAAATACAAGTCATATGCTGGCCGGGCGCAGTGGCTCACACCTGTAATCCCAGCACTTTGGGAGGCCAAGGCAAGCGGATCACCTGAGGTTGGGAGTTCGAGACCAGCCTGACCAACATGGTGAAACCCTGTCTCTACTAAAATGCAAAAAATTAGCTGGGTGTGGTGGTCGCGCCTGTAGTCCCAGCTACTCAGGAGGCTGAGGCAGGATAATTGCTTGAACCCTGGAGGCGGAGGTTGCAGTGAGCCGACATCCCACCACTGCACTCCAGCCTGGGTGACAGAGCAAGACTCTGTCTCAAAAAAAAAAAAAAAAAAGATACAGGTCATAAAGACCTTGCTGATAAAACAAGTTGCAGTAAGAAGCCGGCCAAATCCCACCGAACCCAAGATGGCCATGAGAGTGACCTCTGGTCGTCCTCACTGCTACACTCCTGTTAGCTCCAAGACAGTTTACAAATGCCACGGCAACATCAGGAAGTTACCCTCTGTGGTCTAAAAAGGGGAAGCATGAATAATCCACCCCTCGTTTAGCATATCATCAAGAAATAACAATGACAATGGGCAACCCGCAGCCCTCGCGGCTGCTCTCTCTCTGGAGTAGCCATTCTTTTATTCCTTTACTTTTCCTGATAAACTTGCTTTCACTTTACAGACTTGCCCTGAATTATTTGTTGCACGAGATCAAAGAACCCTCTCTTGGGGTCTGGGTCGGGACCGCTTTTCAGTAACATCTTTCTGGTGATCACGGAAGAGACTATAGTGTGGAAACACCCGACCCAAAGGCTAACTTTGAGCCCGGTGTGGTGGCACGCACCTGTAATCCCAGCTACTCAGGAGGCTGAGGCAGGAGAATCGCTTGAACCCCAGCGACAGAGGTTGCAGTGAGCTGAGATCGCACCACTGCACTCCAGCCTGAGCGACAGAGCAAGACTCTGTCTCAAAAACAACAACAACAAACAACAACAACAAAAAACCAAAGGCTAACTTTGGGTAAGTGATGGGGTTCAGTAACATCTTTCTGGCAAATCATGGAAGGGACGATACTGAAGAAACCCCCGACCCAAAGGAAATAGACTGGAGCACTGATTGGCCGACTTTGGGTAAGTGGTGGAGTACTCTGGTAAAGGGTGGGATGGGATTAGAGGCCCAATTTAGGGGAATTAGAGTCTCTCCTAAGACAGAGTGGGATAGAGGCCCCTCTTAATAAAAGGCAAGGACACGGTGAAACCCCGTCTCTACTAAAAATACAAAAAATTAGCCGGGCGTGGTGGCAGGTGCCTGTAATTCCAGCTACTCAGGAGGCAGGAGAATCGCTTGAACCCAGGAAGCAGAAGTTGCAGTGAGCCGAGATTGCACCACTGCACTCCAGCCTGGGCAACAAAAGCAAAATTCGGCCTCCAAAAAACAAAAAAAAAACAAAAGGCAAGGACGCTTGACCGACCTTGGGTTAGAAGCCCAACTTAGGAGGGTTGGAGTCCCTTCCAAGATTTAGGGGGTTAGAGGCCCCTCTCAGTAAAGTCCCTTTCAGCTAAGAACGGGTTTGGCACTATGGGATGTTAACTGCTGTTCTCTTTAGATTAATCTGCCTTGCACTCTTTGCTGATGGCTGTGGGTGACAGCATTAAGCGTGTACAGGATCGTGGGACATAGGGAGCTTTTTTCTCCCTAAAAGGGGAAACTTGAGAGCTGATGGGACTTCTGGAAAAGATCCCTTCACGACCGACAAGCAGCCGCCTGGACTTTTCAGTGTCACTGCAATGGGTGGGTCTTTCTCTGGCCTCCCCGAGCACCTCACCTTCCTCACCTTCCTCACCTTCCCCACCCTGCCTCAGGCAATGCATTCCTCTCTCTCTGTGCAAATGGGTTAAATGGTAAAAATCACTGTTTATCTCCTCTATGAAGTTTTGATGAATGGAAGAAAGGATTTGCGAGGCTAATCTTAAACTGTAGTGAATCTGGTGTGCTTTGCCTGTCTTTCTGTGTTCTGTGATGGAGAGGAGTATCTTAGGACAGAATGAGGGCCTAGGACACCTATAAGCCCGCTGTTCAGAGACGGCCCAGCACACTGGTCAGTTAAAAACTTCGGCCGGGTGCGGTGGCTCACGCCTGTAATCCCAGCACTTTGGGAGGCTGAGGCGGGCAAATCACAAGGTCAGGAGTTCGAGACCAGCCTGACCAACATGGTGAAACTCCGTCTCTACTAAAAATACAAAAATTAGCTGGGCGTGGTGGTGAGCGCCTGTAATCCCAGCTACTCAGGAGGCTGAGGCAGGAGAACCGCTTGAATTCAGGAGATGGAGGTTGCAGTGAGCCGAGATCACGCCGCTGCACTCCAGCCTGGGCGACAGAGTGGGATTCCGTCTCAAAACAAACAAACAAACAAAAACTTTGCTGCAGGTCCCTGAAAAAAACTGGATGAGGTTCCCTTCTTGTCTTGTATGTCCTTGGGAGCTCGACCTTGTAACCATGTGGCTGTGCTTTCTCTTTCCACAGTGGCAGCCTGGGTTCAGGGTCCAATTCCTGGCTTGAGGAATGAGTCCTTTATCTTCTGTCTGTCTGCGTATTTATGTGTGTCGTGTGTGTGACGTTTACATATAAAAGAGCTTGGGTTGATTGGCTTAAAAACAAGTGCTTAAATCAAATATTTTGACAGAAAAGTATAAAGTATAATGCCTTTTAGTTCATGTGACTTAAGTAATCTTTGGGAAACAGTTTTAAAGATTATTGGTAAAATAAAAATATCTTCAAAAATGTAAATATTTGGTCTAACTTATGCAGGTCAGATGTTTGCTAAATGCTTTGAGGTTATAAACTGCTTCTTTGACTTTTGGAAATTGTTCAGTTTACCTACCTTGCTGTGTATGAACATATTGGCTAAAGTTGGGTATTATTCAGTTTTTGCATAAATTAAACATTGGAAAAAAACACAACAGGTTTTTCCTGAAGCAAAAATCTGCTTATGATCTGCTCTTTAACAAAAATTGTAAAGGGTTATAAAAAGTTTATGAGAATCTTACCTTAGGGTCAAACATTAAAATTGGGTAAATGTGTCTATAGGGTTTTATTAAGAATTGGGTTTGGCTGGGTGCAGTGAATCACGCCTGTAATCCCAACACTTTGAGAAGCCAAGGCGGGAGGATCACTTGAGGTCAGGAGTTCAAGACCAGCCTGGCCAACATGGTGAAACCCCATCTCTACTAAAAATACAAAAAATTAGCTGGGCACGGTGGCACGTGCCTGTAATCCCAGTTACTCGGGAGGCTGAGGCAAGAGAAACGCTTGAACCTAGGAGGTGGAGGTTGCAGTGAGCCAAGATTGCACCACTGCACTCCAGCCTGGGCAACAGAGCCAGACTCTGTCTCAAAAAGGGGAAAAAAAAAGAATTGGGTTTAACATTAATAGTACACTAATGTAAAGGTGAAATTCGGCTTATTTGGTACAAAACTCATACAGGAAACATTGTCAAATATGAAACGGTGTTTGCTTTTCTTTGGGCTGTATTTGTATAAATGTGTTATTGGCATATGTTCCAAAATAATAGGAAATTCCTATAATTCTGATATGACTTAGTATATGTTATTAATAATTATAATTGTTACAGAAAATCATTGTATGCCACAGAGGTAACCAAAAAACCAAAGTCTTATCTAAGATTTCTTCTATGGAACAGAGTTCCATCAAAGCCAATTTAAAAACAGCTTATGTGGGCCAGGCGTGGTGGCTCACGCCTGTAATCCCAGCACTTTGGGAGGCCGAGGCAGGCAGATCTTAAGGTCAGGAGATCGAGACCATCCTGGCAAACACAGTGAAACCCCATCTGTACTAAAAATACAATAAAATTAGCCAGACGTGGTGGCGGGCGCCTGTAGTCCCAGCTACTTGGGAGGCTGAGGCGGGAGAATGGCGTCAACCCGGGAGGCAAAGCTTGCAGTGAGCTGAGATAGCACCACTGCACTCCAGCCAGGGCGACAGAGCGAGACTCCATCTCAAAAAAAAAGCAAAAAAAAAAAGCTTATGTGAAAAATAGTTATTCTTGCTGCACTTTATACAAATAATCAGGCCAAAGAAAAACATCCTTTGTCAATCATGTTTTTGACTGTGGCTGTCCTAAGACATTTTGCCATCCACAGACAATTGTTGTCTTAATACTCTTTAAAAGGTGGTTTATAATCAACTAGAGAACTCTAACAGGTATTCTTAAATGCAGGTTTCTGATAACTTTGGAAATTGTGATATTAAAATAGAGGAAAAAACTTTCAGAACTCTCACAGAGAACTGGAATGTCCGTGAATATCAAACACAGCAGGAGATAACTGCAGCAGCTCAAGTCAGTAATTCTGAAGTCATCTTTTTGACTTTGCTTAAAATATTATTGATCCTTTGTTTTGCTTTTCAGAGTCAAGAAAACTTTTCTTTTGAGCTATTTGCATTTTTTTCTTTTTTTTTTGAGACGGAGTCTTGCTCTGTCGCCCCAGCTGGAGTGCAGTGGCGTGATCTCGGCTCACTGCAAACTCCACCTCCCGGGGTTCACACCATTCTCCTGCCTCAGCCTCCCGAGTAGCTGGGACTACAGGCACCCACCACCATGCCTGGCTAATTTTTTGTATTTTTAGTAGAGACGGGGTTTCACTGTGTTAGCCAGGATGGTCTCGATCTCCTGACCTCGTGATCTGCCCACCTCGGCCTCCCAAAGTGCTGGGATTACAGGTGTGAGCCACCGCGTCTGGCCTGCATTTTTTAACAATTGAGTAAAATATACTCCTATGAACAAACTTTGGAGCATATTTGTTTCTCTGTACCTGCTTTCTCCAGAATTTGCAAACTAGAGAGTATTCTTAACTTATGGCAATATAGTTATTTGCCTAATTGCAACAATAATTTTTCTTTTGTAACCGGACACAAGTGGAAAAGCTGGTTATTTTACCAAGGCTTTAACCGGAATGGTGTGTTTTTCCTTTAAGGAATTAAACTTGACTTACAGAGCCAATAAAAGCCCCTTGGGAAAACAGGCCTCATACCTTGCCCACACAGTCCCTGTACAGGGTTTCTGACCCATGGGAAGTAAAGAATGTCACTTTCCAACAGGCCCAGGAGCCCCAAGTTATCTGGGATCCCAAGATGGGAGGAATGTACTCATCCCACAGGTATTTGAGGATACAAACCCATGGCAGGGCTCGGCTCTGAAAAAGTCTTATCTAAGATTCCTTCTGTGGAACAGAGTTCCATCAAAGCCAATTTAAAAACACCTTTTGTGAAAAATAATTATT